>NC_000010.11:15919090-16070606 GCF_000001405.40 Homo sapiens
GTCTGAGAGATAGTTTGTTATAATTTCTGTTCTTTTACATTTGCTGAGGAGAGCTTTACTTCCAAGTATGTGGTCAATTTTGGAATAGGTGTGGTGTGGTGCTGAAAAAAATGTATATTCTGTTGATTTGGGGTGGAGAGTTCTGTAGATGTCTATTAGGTCCGCTTGGTGCAGAGCTGAGTTCAATTCCTGGGTATCCTTGTTGACTTTCTGTCTCGTTGATCTGTCTAATGTTGACAGTGGGGTGTTAAAGTCTCCCATTATTAATGTGTGGGAGTCTAAGTCTCTTTGTAGGTCACTCAGGACTTGCTTTATGAATCTGAGTGCTCTTGTATTGGGTGCATAAATATTTAGGATAGTTAGCTCCTCTTGTTGAATTGATCCCTTTACCATTATGTAATGGCCTTCTTTGTCTCTTTTGATCTTTGTTGGTTTAAACTCTGTTTTATCAGAGACTAGGATTGCAACCCCTGCCTTTTTTTGTTTTCCATTGGCTTGGTAGATCTTCCTCCATCCTTTTATTTTGAGCCTATGTGTGTCTCTGCACGTGAGATGGGTTTCCTGAATACAGCACACTGATGGGTCTTGATTCTTTATCCAACTTGCCAGTCTGTGTCTTTTAATTGCAGAATTTAGTCCATTTATATTTAAAGTTAATATTGTTATGTGTGAATTTGATCCTGTCATTATGATGTTAGCTGGTGATTTTGCTCGTTAGTTGATGCAGTTTCTTCCTAGTCTCGATGGTCTTTACATTTTGGCATGATTTTGCAGTGGCTGGTACCGGTTGTTCCTTTCCATGTTTAGCGCTTCCTTCAGGAGCTCTTTTAGGGCAGGCCTGGTGGTGACAAAATCTCTCAGCATTTGCTTGTCTGTAAAGTATTTTATTTCTCCTTCACTTATGAAGCTTAGTTTGGCTGGATATGAAATTCTGGGTTGAAAATTTTTTTCTTTAAGAATGTTGAATATTGGCCCCCACTCTCCTGGCTTGTAGGGTTTCTGCTGAGAGATCCGCTGTTAGTCTGATGGGCTTTCCTTTGAGGGTAACCCGACCTTTCTCTCTGGCTGCCCTTAACATTTTTTCCTTCATTTCAACTTTGGTGAATCTGACAATTATGTGTCTTGGAGTTGCTCTTCTTGAGGAGTATCTTTGTGGCGTTCTCTGTATTTCCTGAATCTGAACGTTGGCCTGCTTTGCTAGATTGGGGAAGTTCTCCTGGATAATATCCTGCAGAGTGTTTTCCAACTTGGTTCCATTCTCCACATCACTTTCAGGTACACCAATCAGACGTAGATTTGGTCTTTTCACATAGTCCCATATTTCTTGGAGGCTTTGCTCATTTCTTTTTATTCTTTTTTCTCTAAACTTCCCTTCTCGCTTCATTTCATTCATTTCATCTTCCATTGCTGATACCCTTTCTTCCAGTTGATCGCATTGGCTCCTGAGGCTTCTGCATTCTTCACGTAGTTCTCGAGCCTTGGTTTTCAGCTCCATCAGCTCCTTTAAGCACTTCTCTGTATTGGTTATTCTAGTTATACATTCTTCTAAATTTTTTTCAAAGTTTTCAACTTCTTTGCCTTTGGTTTGAATGTCCTCCCGTAGCTCAGAGTAATTTGATCGTCTGAAGCCTTCTTCTCTCAGCTCGTCAAAATCATTCTCCATCCAGCTTTGTTCCGTTGCTGGTGAGGAACTGCGTTCCTTTGGAGGAGGAGAGGCGCTCTGCGTTTTAGAGTTTCCAGTTTTTCTGTTCTGTTTTTTCCCCATCTTTGTGGTTTTATCTACTTTTGGTCTTTGATGATGGTGATGTACAGATGGGTTTTCGGTGTAGATGTCCTTTCTGGTTGTTAGTTTTCCTTCTAACAGACAGGACTCTCAGCTGCAGGTCTGTTGGAATACCCTGCCGTGTGAGGTGTCAGTGTGCCCCTGCTGGGGGGTGCCTCCCAGTTAGGCTGCTCGGGGGTCAGGGGTCAGGGACCCACTTGAGGAGGCAGTCTGCCCCTTCTCAGATCTCCAGCTGCGTGCTGGGAGAACCACTGCTCTCTTCAAAGCTGTCAGACAGGGACACTTAAGTCTGCAGAGGTTACTGCTGTCTTTTTGTTTGTCTGTGCCCTGCCCCCAGAGGTGGAGCCTACAGAGGCAGGCAGGCCTCCTTGAGCTATGGTGGGCTCCACCCAGTTCGAGCTTCCCAGCTGCTTTGTTTACCTAAGCAAGCCTGGGCAATGGCGGGCGCCCCTCCCCCAGCCTCGTTGCCGCCTTGCAGTTTGATCTCAGACTGCTGTGCTAGCAATCAGCGAGATTCCGTGGGCGTAGGACCCTCTGAGCCAGGTGTGGGATATAGTCTTGTGGTGCGCCGTTTTTTAAGCCGGTCTGAAAAGCGCAATATTCGGGTGGGAGTGACCCGATTTTCTAGGTGCGTCCGTCACCCCTTTCTTTGACTCGGAAAGGGAACTCCCTGACCCCTTGCGCTTCCCAGGTGAGGCAATGCCTCGCCCTGTTTCGGCTTGCGCACGGTGCGCGCACACACTGCCTGCGCCCACTGTCTGGCGCTCCCTAGTGAGATGAACCCAGTACCTCAGATGGAAATGCAGAAATCACCCGTCTTCTGCGTCGCTCACGCTGGGAGCTGTAGACCGGAGCTGTTCCTATTCGGCCATCTTGGCTCGGGAAGTGTCGCTGAATTCTCTTATGTACATAATCATGTTTTCTGCTAATAGTGACAATTTCATTCTTTACTTTCCAATAATTATGAAATTTAAAAATATTTATTTTGTTGTTCTTACTGCTTTGGCTAGAACGTTTACTACATTGTTGTACAACATGGTGAAAATTGATAGTCTCGCTTTTTTCCTGATTGTAAGGGGCAGGGCTTGATATTGAACTATTGGTATAATTGCAGCAGCAGAAATTTTTTTAATCAATGAGGAGTGCTGACTTTTGTCAAATACTTTACTACATCTTTTGAGGTAATTACATAATTTTTCTCATTCATTTTGTTAATATGTTGAATTACATTGATTGATATTTGAATGTTAAGCCAGCCTTACACTTTGGGGATCAGGGGAGGAAAACTCCACCTAGTAATGATGTATTTATTATTCTTTTGATATATTCCTGGGTTTAAATTGCAGTATCTTATTGATTTTTGTGTCTATGATCATGTGGGTTATTTGTCTGTAATAATATTTTTGAAATGTTTAATTAGTTTTTTAAAAAAACCATGTGGCTTCATGAAATCAGTAGAGAAGATTTTTTTGCCTCCTCTATTTCTTGAGACAATTTGTATATAATTTTTATTATTTCATATTACTTATTTGCCCAATTTTAAATTGGGATTTTTTGTTGTCGTTTTTGAGTTTTAGAAGTTTTCTATATAGCCTGGATTTTAATCCCTTATCAGAATCAGATATGTAATTTGGAAATCTTTTCTCCCAATCTGTGTGTTGTCTACTTACTATGTTGATAGTGTCTTTTGATGTATGTTAAAAAATTCACGAAGTCCAATTTTTCTATTTTTTTTCTTTTGTTGCCTATACTATGATGTCACATTCAAATCATTGCCAAACTCAATCTCATAAAGCTTTCCCTGTGGTTTTTTCTAAGAGTTACATAGTTTTAGGCCTCACATTTAGGTACTTGATTTATTTTGAGTTAATTTTTTAATATAATGTTAGGTAAGGGTTCAACTTTGTTCTTTTGCATGTGGATATACATTTTTTTTCCAGGGCCATTTGTTGAAAAGACTGATTATATATTAGGGATTGTTTCTGGGCTCTCTAATCTATTCCATTGCTCTATATGTCTGTCTTTATGCCAGTAATACACTATTTTGTTACTGCAGTTTTATAGCAAATTTTGAAATCCGGAAGTGTGAGTCCTCTAGCTTTGTTCTTTTCTCAAGATTGCTTTGGCTATTCTGCAGCCCTTGAGATTCTATATGAATTTTAGGATAAGGTTTTCTTTTTCTGCAAAAAGTAGGAATTTTGATTGGATTGTGTTGAATCTGTAAATCACTTTGGATAGAATTAACATATTAAAAATATTAATTATTTCAATCCATGAACATGGGATACGTTTTCCATTTACTTATCTTTTAAAATTTCTTTCCGCAGGATTTTGTGGTTTTCACTGTATATGTCTTTTACTTCCTTTGTTAGTCCCTAAGTATTTTGATCTTTTTGATGCTATTGTAAATAAAATTTTTTTTTATAATTTTTTTCATATTGTTAAAATGTTAGTACCTAGAAATACAGCTGATTTTTTGTGCATTAATTTCTGCTACTTTGCTGAATTCATTTATTAGTTCTGTCAGGTTTTTTCGTAGAATCTTCAGAGTTTTCTACATACAAACTTATATTGAGAGATAATTTTATATCTTCTTTTCAAATTTAGATGCATTTATTTATTTTTCTTGCTTCGTTGCTCTGGGTAGAACTTCCAGTACAATATTGAATAGAGGTGGTTAAAGCTGGCATTCTTACCTTCTTTCTGATCTTAAGGAAAAGCTTTTGGTGTTTCACCGTGAAGTAAAATGTTCATTGTGGTTTTTTCTTATATGGCTTTTATTATGTTGAGGTAGTTTTCTTCTATTACTAGTTTGTTAAGTGTTTTCATTATGAAAGAGTGTTGAATATTGTCAAGTACTTTTTCTACATCAATTGACATGATCGTTTTTTTCTTCATTCTTGAATGTGGTGCATTGCATTGATTGATTTTCTTATATTTAACTCTTCTTGTATCCCAGGAATAAATGATATTTGGTCATGGTGTAAAATTATTTTAACATGCTGCCTAATTCAGTTTGCCAGTATTTTGTTAAGGATTTTTGCATCGATGTTTACAAAGGATATTGGCCTGTAATTCTCTTTGTCTGGCTTTAGTATCAGAGTAATGTTGGCCTCACATAAAGAGTTAGAAAATGTTCTCGCCTTTTCAACTTTTTGGAAAAGTTTGAGAAAAATTTGTGTTCTTTAAATGTTCAGAAGGATTCACCAGCAAATCCACTGTGTCCAGGGCATCTCTTTGTCAGGAGATTTTTTATTACTGATCTAATCTCCTTACTAGTTATAGGTCTATTCAGATTTTTTATTTATTCCTAATTTTGTCTTGGTAGGTTTTGTGTTTCTAGGAGTTTGTCCATTTCATCTAGGATATACAATTTGTTGGCATACAATTATTTAGAGTGTTCTCTTATAATCCTTATTCTTTCTTAGAATTGGTGATATCTCCAATTTCATTTCTTATTTAATAATTTGAGTCTTCTCTATTTTTTTTGATTAGTCTAACTAAAAGTTTGTCAATTTTGTTGATCCTTTTAAAGAAACAACTTTTGGATTTGTTGATTTTCTCCAGTGCTTTTTAATTTTCTATTTTATTTACCTCTGCTCTAATTTTCATTATTTCTCTCCTGCTAGCCTTGGGTTTAGTTTGCTCTTCCTTTCCTAGTTTCTCAAGTTATAAATTTAGGTTGTTGATTTGAGGCCTTTCTTGTTTTTTAATAAAAGTGTTTATAAATTTAACCATTGACACTCCTTCTACTGTGTTCCATAAGTTGTGCTATACAATATCTAAGGATTTTCTAATTTCCCTTTGAATTAGTTTCTTTTGTTGATCCATTGGTTAAGAGCATACTGTTTAATTTTGAGAAATCTGTAAATTTTCCAGTTTCACTTGTTGATTTCTAACTTCATTCCATTGTGGTCAAAGAGAGTATTTTGTGTTATATGTATTTAAAAAAATATACTGAGAGTTAATTCTTAGCCTGACACATGCTCTATTTTGGAAAATGTCTCATGCACTTGGGAAGAATATATAGAGAGTTCTCTATATATCTGTTAGATCTAGGTTTTGTTGTTGTTGCTGTTAAGTCCTCTATTATTTTACTTATTTTTTTTCTGGTTGTTCTATTAATTATTGAGGGTAGGGTATTGGAATCTTCACCTACTATTATAGAACTGCCTACTCTTCTCCTCAATTTTGTCAGTTCTTGGTTCACATATTTAGATAGTCTGTCATTAGCTGCATATATGTTTTTGATTGTTATATCTTCTTGCTGTCTTGACCCTTTTATTGATATATAGCGTCCTTTTTGGCTTTTGTAGTCTGTTTTGATGTAAGGTCTATTTTGTCTGATTTTCCTATGGCCACCCCTGTTCTCTCTTGGTCATTATTTGCATGAAATAGCTTCTTTCATCCTTTGATTTGCAATCTTTTTATGTTTTTTGATCTGAAATAAGTTTCTTATAGACAACATAGAGTTGGATCTTGTGTTAAAATCGATTCTGCCAATACCTGTTAGTTGGGGAATTTAATCCATTTATATTTAAAGTAATTATTGATAAGAAGATACTTTTTATTTTGCTATTTGTCTACATGCCTTATAGCAATTTTGTCCCTCATTTTCTGCATTACTCTCTTTTATGTTCAGCTGATTTTTTATAGTGAAATGTTTAAATTCCTTTCTTATTTTCTTTGTATGTGTTCTATAGCTTTCCTTTGCTGGTACCATGGAAATTACATTTAATATCCTAAAGTTATAGCATGCTAATATGAATTTATATCTGTTTAACTTCAATAATAGACAAAATGCTGCTCCTTTAACAGCTCCATCCTCACCTGTTTCAGTTATTGAGGTAAAAAATTACATATTTATTTATTGTGTGCTAAAAAACATAAATAATTCTTTTTAGTGCATTAGCCTCTTAAATTATTTAGAAAACCAGATATAGAATTAAAAACCAAAGTTACAATAATTCTAGCTTTTAGAATAATAATTACTTTCTAATGTAATAGACTCATATCATGTAGGAAAAAAGTGCAATTACATAGCATTGTTATAACACTTCTAGCTTTTATAATTGCTCATGTATTTACCTTTATGGAGAGATTGTTTTCTTCATTTGGCTTTGAGTTACTGTCCAATGTATCTTTTCCTGCAGGACATCCTTTAGCATTTCTTGTAGGTCAGTTCTAGTGGTAGTGAACTTCTTCATGTTTTGTCTATCTGAAAACCTCTTAATTTTTCTCTCACTTTCTAATAATGCTTTTGCTAGATGTTTGATTCTTGTTTGACAGGCTTTTTATTTAGCACTTTGAATATATTGGATCACTGCCTTGTGGTTCTCCATAATTTCTTTTTAAAATTTTTAAAAAAAAATTATTTTGAGACAGAGTCTTGCTCTGTCACCCAGGCTGGAGTGCAGTGGTGTGATCTTGGCTCACTACAACCTCCACCTCCTGGGTTCAAGCGATTCTCATGCCTCGGCCACCCAAGTAGCTGGGATTACAGGTGTGGGCCACAATGTCCAGCTAATTTTTGTATTTTTAGTAGAGAGGGGGTTTTGCCATGTTGGCCAGGCTGGTCTCAAACTCCTGGCCTCAAGCGATCTGCCTGTTTCGGCCTCCCGAAGTGCTGTGATTACAGGTGTGAGCCACCACCCCCGGTCCTGGTCTCCATAATTTCTGATGAAAAATTTGCTGATAATTTCATTGAGGATCCCTTGTATGTGACAAATTGCATTTTCTCTTGGTGTTTTCATGATTTTCCCTTTGGCTTTCAAAATTTTGATTCTAATGTGTTTTGAGGTGGGTCTCCTTGAGTTCATCTTACTTGGAGTTTGTGGAGCTTCTTGCAGGTTTATGTCTTTCATCAGATGTGACAGGTTTTCAACCATTATTTCTTTAAATGCTCTGCCTTTTTCCTTCTCTTTTCTACTTGTGGGACCCCCGCAGTCTGTATGTTGGTCCTCTTGATAGTGTCCCGTAGGCACACGTCTTTTAAGCTGTGCTTACTTTTCTTCAATCTTTTTTTCCCCATCCCTTACATTTGATAATTCCCATTGCTCTATTGTCAAGTACATTGATTCTTTATTCTGGCTACTCACATCTGTTTTTGAATGCTTCCAGTGCATTTTTCATTTTAGTTATTGTACTTTTCAGCTCAATAATTTCCTTTTGTTTTTTCTTAGTTTTTAAATCTCTTTATTGATATTTTTATTTTGTTCATACATTGTTTTCTTGACTTTCTCCACATGCTCTTTTAGTTTTTTGAGCATATTTAAGAGTTATTTTAAAGTCTTTGTCTAGTAGATCTGCTACCAGGTCTTTTAAGGACAGTTTCTGTTAATTTACTTTTTTTCCTTTGAATGGGTCATACTTTCCTGTTTCTTGGTATGCTTTGTGTTTTTTTGTTGTTGCTGTTGAAAACTGTGCGTTTGAATGTAATAATCTGGTAACTCTGGCAATCAGATACTCCACCTTCCCTAGGGTTTGCTATTTTTTTTAATTATTGTAGGCTGTCTCTGTGCCATGGATAAATAAGCCTGAGGCATAAACTTAAGGGTCTTCTCAAGTCTTTCTGAGCCTGCACCTTTCCATGGGCATGTGTGTTCACTTTTTAATTTTCCCCATATATGACATTGTGTTTGAATGTTCTGATTTTTTATGTCTGGCTCTCCAAAGGGAAAAACAAAAATAATAAAGGTAGGGAGGATGGGTACTATCCCTTTAAGTCACCCAGCAGTCACTTCATCCAGAGGGGAAGGAGCCTGCAACAATATATGAAGGAGCAAACCCAATGGCCACCGCCTCTTTGTATCTCTGTGATTAGAAACACCAATTAGTAAGGAAACTACAGATCCCCAATACTCAGAGGACAAGGTCCCTTTTTGCACACTCTGGCTCCCACAGGCTGTGTACAAAGACTATTATTCATGTATCAAGCACTATTTTAAATGCTTTGTATGTACTAACTTATTTAATCTTCACAGAGAACGCAGAAGACAGATGCTGCTTGTTATACAGGAGACAGAGGGAAAACTGTTAGAATTTGCTATTTGTTTTGGATACTCTTTATCAAGGCAAGAAAATTTCTTTCTGTTATAAATGGGTGATGATTCTTTCAGAAATTTTGTGGCATCCATATAGATGGTTATACTAATATGGTAAGTTACATGGAGGTCTCCTTGCATTTCTGAAGCAAACCCTATTTAATATTGGTATGTTAGTTGCTTATTTTTACCTTTATTCATTTGCATATTTTAGATACTTGTATAGTTTTTTAAGGTGTACACTTTTGAACAAAATTACACTAACATCAATGAGTAAGTAGGGTGATGACTCTAATACTTTTATTATCTTTGCATAATATGTCTTAAATTTTGATAAATTTTTTTACTTTGGCTTATCAAGCTCCAGATGATACATAAATTAATGTATTAATAGGTTACTTAACAGATTACCCTGTACCTCTTATGAAAAGCACCACTATTAAAAAATTAATTAATTAAAGCACTTTGCATAGTGCCTTAAATTTTGATTTTTTTTTTAACTTTGTCTTATCAAGCTCCGGATGATACACACATTAACATATTATTAGGTTACTTAACAGATTACCTTGTACCTCTTATGAAAAACACCACTATTAAAACTTTGACCTTCTGCTGTAATTCAACATAACTTTAGGATATATTTTACCCCTTCCATCAAGCTTCTTGGACTTACAATGGGAACAGGACACTTTCTACTACAATATTTGCCCTTTGAAGACAAATACCATGTTCCTTTCATTCTTTGTATTCTCCAGCTCCTGGTATAGTATTTGATGAATAGTCAAAGCTTATTAAACATTTTTTGAATAGATGTAGTTACTGTGACTTGGGCGAGAAGACAGATTTGAGTTCTCATTATTGACTATATCTTACACTGAGTGTTTCTATACTCCTTTTTATCTTCCCTTTTGATGACAACTAAACCCAGAAGGGAGGCAGAATTCTTACTGTAAAAAATTAGACTCGTGAAAACATGGTTATGAAACCACTGCCTTCCTGTTGCAATGTTGGTACCAGTGATGCTTACTCCTAATTCTCTATCTTTGGACTAGAGTAAGAAATAAAGGGTAATTCATTGGAGATGCTGCCATCGGACACATCACCCAGCGGACTTCTTTGGGTGGCCTTTATTAAGGCAGATTTTTTCAATGTCAAGTCATAAAAAATAAGCATGTGGTCTTACTATTAGTTTCCTCTGAGATCCAGTCTCTTTATTTATGACAAAAATATGTTACTAGTATTTTTTGATCCAGAGTTTCTGTAGTCTATAAATTTAAATCTGATCTTGAATATAATATATGCCTCCTGTAGACAGAAAAATATTCCTATTCACACTGGTACAGTTACTTCAGATTATGATTTTCAGTGTCGTATTTTTTTAAATAAAATGTTTTAATTTTCTTTCATCTGAGCACTGCAAGCTTTATTTTTAGGACTGAAGATTTAATTCCAACAGGATATGTTTAGAATTCTCTTGTACTGGCTTTCTGAAAACATTGTGTTTCATCTTATTATGAAAAGTGTAAACAGGTTATAGCTCAGAAACAGGTGCTGAAAGGCTCAGCTCTTGAACTTCATAGAGATGTCTTCCAGCTGAGCACAGCAGACTGTTCACATGTGATTTCAAATAACATTAAATTAGGATCCCACATCTTTCCATCATTTTTCTCTCTTTGTTTGTTAACTGGCAGTACACAGTGTAAGCTTCATTCATATGTTAAATAAAAAATCATCCCTTCCCAATTCTGTCAACACATTTCCACAGGAAACCACATATCTAATAAGCAAAGGAAGTCTTCTAAATGAAATTTTCACAAATACAGTGTCAACCGAGATTTAGTACGAGTGCACCTTTAAAAAAATCTAACAACGTTTACTGAGCATCTACTATCTGTCGTGTATTTCTTCAAGAATACAACTGTAAATATGACAGGTGAGATCCTACCTGTCATAGGGATTACATTCTGGAGGAGGAAGATGGAAAACCAACCAACCAGCCAGCCAGCCAACCAACCAAGCAACCAACCAACCAAAGTCTTTCCAGTTAATGATAATTGTCATGGAGAAAATACAATGTGAGCTATACAGTGGGATAGGGATTTGAGCATGGGAACACATGGCAAAGTTGGACGGAGGACATTTTGATTTTTCTTGAACCCTTGTTAAAAGGTTAAAAAGGGCTCTAAAGCATTTAAAGAAACTACTGATGTTACAACATCTCACCAATAAGAAGTTAATATGCATTCCTAAAAACATATTACCACATAGACAAAATAACTATCATATTTAAAAAATCTATAATTCCTTTGTGTAATCTAATAGCTGATCCATATTTAAATCTCTTCCAATTATTCTCCAAATGTCCTTCACAGTTCATTTGTGCAAACACTGTTGAATCCAGGGTCCTATACTGCAAGTGATTGTCACGTCCCTTATGCCTCTTTTGGTCAAAAGCAATTCATAACACAGGGACTTGACCAATTGTCTTGTTGAATAGTCTACCTTTTGGACCTTGTCTCATTTCTTCCTCATGATGTCATTTAACTTACAACTCAATACCTTGCGTTTTCTGTAACTTGAAACTTAGTTTCAAAGTCTTGATTAGATTCTAGTTAAACATTTTTAGATAGAATACATCATAAGTGATGCGTATTTCATACTGTATTATATCTATAAATACATATTAGTCATACTGCCATCATTGAAACTCAAAATTGACCATCATATTAGAGTGATGATAACCTTGTCCCTTCATTGTACATTAGAATTTCCCTTTACAACCAGAAAATAGCCTGTGTGGTACACTTTGGCATCATATATGCATCCAGTTCCCAAATATTGACATAATGATCTTAAAATCAATTTGTAATCATTGTCTGAATATAAAATTTCACTAGACATTGCAAAATAATTATATTTTTCCTAATTTTTCCTTCCTTTTATGGGTTATTTTAGCTGGCAGACTTCTATAGTTTTCCCTCGTGAACTGGCGTTATTTGGTTACTTGGAAAAACAATTCCTATTGGAAAGACAAAGATACAAGCATTTAGTTTTATCCTTTGATTTCTAACTTTCAAAGAAAGAAATTAGTAGCCAGCAAAAAGGGCGAAATGCATTTTTTTCTGATTGTTTTCCTTTTTTGATTATTAGGGATTCATAGATTTTTATTAATTCAATATTGAATGTTCAACAATCCTATCATTAACCTATTTTTTTAATAATCAAACTGTAAAAATTTTGACCAGTGGAAGACTCTTCAACCTGGCCCTTGGTAATTTTGATGTGTGTTCCTTGAGGCATCGATTAGGAAAAGTTTTCCTGAAAAGGACACAAAATCACATCTCTAAAATTAAAAAGTTGGTAAAATTGACTCTACTAAGTCAAACAAACTCTTGCCTTTCCAAAGACACTGTTAACATAATGAAAAAAGCACTTATAAAATAGTCCTAGGGTCAGTAAACTACTTTGGCAGTCACAATTCCATCCCACTGGATGTTTTTATAAATAAATACAGCTTTACTGGAACACAGATAAATCCATTCATGTAGGATCGTCTACAGTTGCTTTTGTGCTGCAACAGGAGACTTGAACGCTCTTGAGAAAAGCCTTGTGTCCTGTAAGGCCTGAAATATTTACTGTCTGGCTTTTTGCCAAAAAAGTTTGCTGACTTGGGGTTGGGACCATAACATTTAAAAGTTTATGAAATGTGATTTTTTTTTTTGATGTTGTTTCATGGGTTTATCTTGTTTTTTCCAACAAAACTATTAGCTTCTGTTAAGAGAAGGAATATCAATATCTTTCACAATGCCTTGCGTAGTACAGATTTTTAAAAAAAATCTCACTTTGCGAGGCCGAGGTGAGCGGATCACGAGGTCAGGAGATCGAGACCATCCTGGCTAACACAGTGAAACCCCGTCTCTACTAAAAATACAAAAAAATTAGCAGGGCATGGTGGCGGGCGCCTGTAGTCCCAGCTACTCGGGAGGCTGAGGCAGGAGAATGGCGTGAATCTGGGAGGCAGAGCTTGCAGTGAGCCGAGATTGCACCACTGCACTCCAGCCTGGGTGACAGAACAAGACTCCATCTCAAAACAAAAATCTGTTAAGTTCAGGAGTACACGGGCAGGGTAGGTAAACTTGTGTTATAGTTTGTTGTACAGATTATTTCGTCACACAGGTATTAAGCATAGTGCCCATTAGTTCTTTTTCCTGATCCTCTCCCTCTTCCCACCCTCCAGTCTCCAAAAGGCCCCAGCATGTGTTGTTTCCCTCTATGTGTCCATGTGTTCTCATAATTTAGCTCCCACTTATAAATTAGAACATGCAGTATTTGATTTTCTCTTCCTGTGTTAGTTTGCTAAAGATAATGGCCTCCAACTTCATCCATCTGACTGCAAAGGACATGATCTCATTCTTTGTTATGGCTGCATAGTATTCCATGGTATACGTGTGTAATGCCACATTTTCTTTATCTAGTCTACCATTGATAGGCATTTAGGTTGATTCCATGTCTTTGCCGTTGTGAATAGTACTACAATAAACATACGTATGCATGTGTCTTTATGACAGAAAGATGTATATTCCTTTAGGTTATAGTGATGGGATTGCTGGGTCGAATGATATTTCTGTTTTTAGGTCTTTGAGGAGTTGCCACACGATCTTCTACAATGGTTGGACTAATTTACACTCCCATCAACAGTGTATAAGTATTTATTTTTCTCTGCAACATCGCCAGCATCTGTTATTTTTTGACTTTTTGATAATAGCTATTCTGACTAGTGTGAGATGGTACATCATTGTGGTTTCGATTTGCATTTCTTTAATGATCAATGATGTTGAGCTTTTTAAAAATATAATCGTTGGCTACATGTATGTCTCCTTTCGAAAGTTGTTTAAAACAGATACTTGATTGATTTATCTATGGATATCTATAGGTATCCATAGAAAAATCAATCAAGTATCTGTTTTAGACACTTTTATCTGTGGATGCCTTCTGTGAAGTATACCTTCATAGAAGTTTTTTTTAAATAAAGACTACTAACTCAAAATAATGAAGTATTGGATACAGGTGTATATTTAGTGCATTTGAATGATATATAAATGTACAAGCAATATGTATTGTGAGCGTAGACATTCTGTATCCTTCATGTTACATTACAGAGACAACCTTACATTTCTACCTAACCATTAATGTGCCTTATAGAAGAGAATAATTTCTTTCACCAATTCACTGAAATAATGCAGTGTTACTTGTAACACAACTACATAATGAGTTGACTTTGATCTTTGGAATAAACTTTCTGTACTGGAAAGTCTCTAATTTTTCAGGGATAATATAAAGGTCAACATCTGTGTTTCTCAAGTTTTTCTCTGACTGACAGAGAGAGATCCACTTTAAGCAACCCATTTTACTTTCCCTATGTGCTGCACTCCCACTGGGTTTATATGTACTACTAATTTCACTAGAATTCAGTGCAAGGAAGAGCTGTCCTTCTTTGTCATGGGTTGACTGGGAGAGCTTGGTTTTATCTCTATGGGCTTTTCTGTGTCTAGTGGCTTTTGATTCTTGTCAGCTTCCTTGGCAGAAATGAGAGCCAATCATGTGTCAAAGGACATTATTTTCACATCTTAGCTATTGTGAACACAACTGCAATAAACTTGGGAGTGCTAATATTCTTTCATGATCCTGATTTCATTTTCTTGGGTAAATATTTAGAGGTGAGATTGCTGGATCATAAAATATTTCTATTTTTAATTTCTTAAGGGCCTTCCATACTGTTTTCCATAGCTACTGTACCATTGTGCATTCCCACCAACAGTGAACAAGGGTTCCAGTTTTTTCCACATCCTTGCCAATACTTGTATCTTTTGGGATTTTTCTGATAATACCATCTTGTACACTTAAAAATTTAAGAGGGTACCTCTCATGTCAAATGTTTTTACCTCAATAAAATGAGTATTTTTTTAAGTGACAGCAAAGATGGCTATCTATCACTGTGGTTAGTATTTATTTTGCACGTGCATTATAATTAATATCTGGCTCTGTGCAAATTAAAACTCAGCTTCAGATTCTGGAACAGTGAAACCTATATGGGAGTAAAATCTTAAATAAATACAATTTCTGTGCAATGAGCAAATTATTTCTTGTACTATTGTTCATAAATAATGGAACACTGTGAAATGAATACTCAAAGAAATATAGATCTATTAAAATAATGCACCATTTGCCTAAGTTTATGCTGTTAGCAAGATTTACTGTAACTGTAAATTATTTCAAAATTGACTGCAGTGTTTCATAAATTTACAGTGTGGATAATTTGGCAAGCAGCCCACTAACAAAGCAAAGTAGAAGAACTAGTTTCATCTACTTTTCCTAAGTTAGAATTATAGACCAGTTAGTTTTGCTATGTTAAAGACTTTTGTAGACATTCTGTTTTACACATATTAAAATTTCCTTAAAATTATAGCTCAGTGCTATTCACATCTGTGTGCACTTGTATGTGCAAGTGTAAAAGTGCTTAGATTACAATAAAGTTCTTAGATTACAAAGAGGTTTTATTTTCCTTTTTATTTCTAAACTGTTGGTTTATAAGTCTTAAACCTTGGAAACTCAAAGTAGATCATGGTTTTTCTGCCCTGGGACTATGGCTACTGGGTTAGTTTCATTTTGATGAAATCTGTCATTGATAAAAGAGAGTTCAAGCTTCTCTAAACCAATTAAAATGTTTTTGCCTCAGGAGGTAAATAAAAGCACATGATAGAACTAAAACAGAGTGGAGAGTGGTAATCAGTATAGTAGTTCAGTATTGAACAATATTGAACACCGTAACAATAACACCTAATAAATCATTCTGAAAGGTACACTGGATATATATATTTTTTCAAGGACAAATAAAGTATACCCATGAGGATCAAAAGGATGCCCGTGTTATTTTTATGGTCTATTTTGAAAAGTATTGATTATTTCTTCTAAGGTAAACTTTAAATTCCCTTAAGATATAAAACAGTCCTCAAAATATTAAAACTTGTCATATTATATTTAGGTATATTATGAATTAAGATGTATATTGATTTAGAGATGTATGTAAGTCTCTTTGGAATCCTACTTAAATAATTTTAGAGCGTTTAATGTTTAAAAATTTTTTTGCACTGCTTTTATCACAAGACTTTTTAGTGTTTAACGCAAAGCCTTGCTAATGTTAATTTTACTTTTAGATTATATTTTTCATTTAGTTTCAGACAACAGAACTGTTAAAAAAATTTTTTTTAATAAAATTAACAAATGTTCTGCTTCTGCCTTTTTTTAACTGTTTTTTTTTTTTTTTTTTTTTTTTTTTGGTGAGAATTTTCCAGTCATCAATGGTCTAATGATCATGTCACAATTAGAAGCTGATGAATTTGAGTGAGGATATGATCACAGTGATTTTAAAGAAACACGTTTGGTGCATTGGCTCATTTATTCATCCATCCGCCCATTAATCCATCCATCCATTAATCCACCTGCTCATTAATCCATCCACCCGCTCGCTCATCCATCCACCCACCCATTCATCCATCAGCCATCCAATATTTTTGAGATCTGCTGTGTCAGACATGTTTATTTTCCTGGCGAATGACTTTGAGAACAGAAAACCCTGAAGCCCACCATAATTTTGGAAGTACGAAAACACATAGTACAGGTGTTAATTTATTTTGTATTTGAGGGGCAGCATACCTAGAGAACAAATATCTTCTGTAACCAGAGACAGCGCTGTTAGTTAAAGGAAACTTCTTAAAACCTCGGTAGTGGCTTTAATAGATTTTAATACATGTTTAAACAGTGTTAAGCATTTGATACAGAACACAGCTCTGTAACTTGATTTAGTCATACAACTGCACTGAAACTAGAAATAATGTCTTTTTCAGATATATTAGGTCTAATAATGATTGTGAAAGTCTTGAACGTTAAGTTGATATCATAAGCGTATGAGAATGATGATTTCCTTGGTGGGTATTATGCTTCTTACTATTATTCTTAGAGATGGGGGTCTTACTATGTTGCCCAGGCTGGAGTGCAGTGGCTATTCACAGGCATGATCACAGCACACTGCAGCCTTGAGCTCCTGTGTTCAAGATATCCTTTCACTTCAGCCTCCAGAGTAGCTGGGACTACAGGTGCACATCACTATGCCTGGCTTATTATCACTCTTTTTATCCTTGCTAATATAAGTGGAAAAATTTTTACTGCACTCCCTATTAAATTCTTTTAAATTTATGACGTTAATCTTTACAGTATACTTAGTTGTCACTTGTCTTTCTACTTCAGTAAGTAGTGTATTTGCGTTCTAATATTTGTCCACTTTTGTATTTGGATGTGTCTTTTTTAAAAAACTGATTCATAAGAGCTCATTGTATATTAAAGAAACTCTTTGTCATTTATATGGTAAATATGTTCAATCTGTTCATTGTAATTTCACATATACATTAGAATAATTTCTTATATGGTCAAACTTATGGCTATTTTATATATTCATCTTTTAATTGCTGTTTTTGGTGTTGTTTTTGGAAAATGTTTTTCCATATTTTACAAATATCCATGCATATTTTATCCTTGTAAATTTCAATCTTTACATTTAATTTGTGAATTTCCTGGAAACAATGCCAGTGTGTTTGCAAGATGAAAGCACACTTTAAAAAAATCATTTGGTCATCTAGCTTGTCTCAAACTGTGGGGACATTTTATTCAAGAAAAACCTTTTAATTTTAGAATAGTTTTAGGTTTATAGAAAACTTGCAACAATAATACAGAGAGTTCCCACGTACCTCATATCCAGTTTCTCCTGGTACTGACATGTATGGTGTATTTCTTACAATTAATGAAATGGTATTGATACATTATTAACTAAAATCCATAGTTCGTTAGACATCCTGAGTTTTTTTTTTTAACCTAATATATCCCCTTTCTGTTCCAGGATCTCATCAGAATACCATATTATATTTAGTTGTGTCTTCTTAGACTCTTGCTGGACGTGACAGTCCCGCAGACTTTCCTTGTTTTTGATGACTTTGACAGTTTTGAGGAGGACTGGTCAGTTGTTTTGTAGAACATCACTCAACTGGGATTGTTTGCTGTTTTGCTTGTGATTGGACAGGGTTATGAGTTTTGGTGGGGGGGAAGACTACAGAAGTAAAGAGACGTTTCTATCCCATTATGTCAAGAACACATGCTATCAACACACCTTGTCACTCTCATTGCTGATATTTACCTCTGTCACCTGGCTGATGTCATGTTTGTCAGGCTTTTTCACTGTAAGGTTATTCTTTCCCCCACCCTCACTCCCTTTTTTTTTTTCTTACTTTGAGACAGACTCTCACTCTGTCATGTAGGCTGGAGTGTAGTGGCATGATCTTGGCTCACTGCAACCTCTGCCTCTTGGGTTCAAGCAATTCTCCTGCCTCAGTTTCCCAAGTAGCTGGGATTACAGATGCAGGCCATCACACTGGGCTAATTTTTGTGTTTTTTAGTAGAGACAGGGTTTCGCCATGTTGGCCAGGTTGGTCTCAAACTCCTGAACCCAGGTGATCCGCAAGACTTGGCCTCCCACAGTGCTGTGATTGCAGGCATGAGCCACAGCACCCGGCCCTTTTTTTCCCTCTTTCCATATGGTGCTCTTGGAAGGAAGTCACTATGTTTAGCCCTTACTTAAGGAGCAGGGGAACTGTATTCTCCCTGCTTGAAGGCAGAATGTCTACATAAATTATTTGGAATTCTTCTGCACAGATTTTTCTACAACAAGCACTTCTGGTCCTTGCTCTTCACAGAAGATGAATTCCAGATAGCCAGTACCACTGTTGGTCCCCAAAACCAGTTGACCCTCAATCTTAGCCCCCAGTTACTACTTGGTGCTATTGGTTTTGGTCCAGATGTGTTTTTGAGGGTAACTACGTTAATTTTAATTTTAAAATACATACTTTACCTACCATTGCTACAAATTTTGAGGGAAGCAAGATTTCCATGTGAATTCTCTTCACCATCTTTAATAAAAGGCCTTCAGGCAGATATTATGTATCTTTTAAAGAAATTATTGTATTAATTCCAGTTTACTTAAAGTGTTTATTTTAAAAAGTAGAAATAAATCTTGACTTTTTATCCATTGCTTTTTGGCATCTATCGGATTACTTTTATTATTTTCCTTCACTCACACGTTTAATTATAGTAATAGATTTCCTATTACTATACCTTCTTTGAATGATGAGAATAGTTCTGTGTGACCATGCTGTGTGTATGTATTATATATATATGATTTGTATACATTATATGTATTAAAATGTGTTATATTCTTACATAAATTTTGTATATATTTACATATGAATTTTTATATATACACATAACTTTATACAATCATGGATCACTTAATGACACGGGTGTATCTGAGCAACATGGCTAGGAGATTTCGTCAGTGTGCGAATATCACAGAGTATACTTACAGAAACCTAGATGCTACAGCCTACTGCACACTTAGGCTAGATGGTATAGCCTATTGCTCCTAGACTACAAACCTGTACAGCAGGTTACTTTACTGAATACTGTAGGCAATTGTGAACACAACAGTAATTATTTGTGTATCTAAATATATCTAAGCATAAAAAAGGTACAGTAAAAATATAGTATTATAATCTTTTGGGATCGCCATCATGTAAGTGGTCTATTATTGACCAAAACATCACTATGCCACACCTGAGTGTATATACATTTATGAAAAACACATGTTTTCATTTAACTTCTAATATTTTACTTAAGATTTTGCATGTATATCCACAGGTGACATTTATTCATTTATTGTTTCTACCTTTGCCTGATTTTTTTTAAAGCAAGGTTATTCTTGCTTTGTATGAGAAATTGTGATGCCATCCATCTTTTTCTCTGTTACAATGAGGTCCTCACTCAGCTATTCAGGAGGTCCCAATCCTCCGAAATCCAACATTAATATTTTCACCTCAGAACGTCACAAATGTTTCATAGTACATGTAGAACCCAGCTGCCTTAAAATAAATATTTTTCTGCTTACCCACATCTAGAAATATCTAATTCTGCCTCATTAGGACTCGTAATATGAGGCAAACTGTATTGCCAAGTTTGCAATGCCAGACAGTCCCTGTGAATTTCAAGTCTCCACTCTAAGGCTACCTGAGGTCTGGTTGATGCCATCCTGGCTGGCCTTGGTATTCTGACCTGTGTGTTAGGGTTTGCTTTTTAGATACCTGATGGCCAGCATCTGTGAAGCCTCATTGTGTCCAGCACCTCTGCTGTGACCCACATTGCTTCTAGAGCCTACACGTCAGGTAAGGGCTTTGGTACTACATAAGGCAGGTCATGGCCACGAGTTGTATATTTATGGTCTGGCAAATGCAACCCTGCCTCAGTAAAGTAGCCACTGTCTGGATAAAGCTGCCTTGAGATTCAGTGATCATCAAATGCACAACTTCATAGTACCGTGCTAAACACAGAATAAAATCTAAAATTTTGACTCTATTAGTCTTTGCTCATACTGCTAATAAAGACGTACCCGAGACTGGGTAATATATAAAGCAAAAGAGGTTTAAGAGACTCACAGTTCCACGTGGCTGGGGAGGCCTCACAATCATGGCAGAAAGCAAAGGAAGAGCAAAGGCTCGTCTTACTTACATGGTGGCAGGCAAGAGCGTGTGTGCAGGGGAACTGTGCTTTATAAAACCATCAGATTCGGTGAGACTTATTCACTATCACAAGAACAGCACGGGAAAAACCCACCTCCATGATTCAATTACCTCCCACTGGGTCCCTCCCATGACACATAGGGATTATGGGAGCTACAATTCAAGATGAGATTTGAGTGGGAACACAGCCAAACCACATCAATGAGTGTAAAAACTCAGACCCATGGCTCAGTGAGGTCTCTACAGACTGCTAAGACTGTTTAAAGTCCAAAAACGAAGTTGTGTTCCCTGGCTCCGTTTGGCCCCTCCATCTTGCTACTTTAGTTCTTGCATTCAGATCCTTACCTATTTCTCAGAGTTCCCTGCCCAAGGCGTTAAATGATAATAGCACTCTGAAATGAATTTACTATCCCTTTCATCTGGGAAGGAGGAGGGACCCCAGAGGCCGGGGTGCTCTGTGAGTAGAGCTCTCCCTTGCAGGGGACATCAGCAAGGGGAAGGAGCCCTCTCACCTCTGCCTTCTATTCGTTGGGTTGCCTGTGTCTGTCATTAAAATATATTGCATTTCCACCACCCCCACCATGATACTCACTTTTTTTTTTCCTTTTGCATTTGGGATAACTATTCTCTATATCACTGTTTTGATTGTTTGCAACCTGAATTTTGCTTTTTACTTTTATTTAATTTTGATTATCCTTGTATTCATTTCTTTTTATTTCTGCTCTTTAAAAAATCTGATTATTTTTTATTCCTAGACAGTTATGACATTCGATTCTAGTTTATTAATGAATATATCATCCCATATTCTATGGGGCTACCGAACAGTTTTTCACTTGTTCTTCTTTGTTTAATCCACAGGTTTTCCCTTGTCTCCCATGTTACTTTACCGCCTACTCATGCTCAAATGAAGCAATCTTTTCTGACTCAATATTTGTAAATCAATCTAAGGGCAAATGACTTTTCATCTTTCTCTTTGCTGGACTGTTGGGTGCTTTATTTCTTCCTTTGATTTACAACAGTAACGCAGGCTGAAACTTACAGGTCCTGGTTGATTCTCTAGTTTCCAGCCATATTTTTCTTCTGATCAATGGAAGCAGCATTGTCCAGCTCTCTGGTTTGTAAAAACTCTGACAGGGTACACAGATCTCTAATTTCTACACAGTTATACTAGGATTCTTTTTTAGCTGCCTTCAGAATTCCACTTTGGCTGTACACTTTGAATATGAATTTCACTACCAAGACATTGGCTCCTTGCTAAATCATGTCATTTTTCTGCAAGGAAGTGAAGAGTGGGTGGATGAAAAGGCTAAGAGAGTGAGCAAGAATGGAGAAAATAATACGGAATCCACCATGCAGCATGGCACCTACAGGTAGGAATATACGCTTGCTAGATCTCATGGTGGAAGAGTCTCTAAGTATCTGAGTTTTGAGACAAAGTTGGAAAATATATGAAATATTATCCAGGTGGTTTCTGTTGCAGTATTCAAAGCTGGGCTGTTCTCCAAACTGGCTGTAGTATTATTCTTTCCAGACTCTAAAATAGCTGGTCAGTTTTAGTTTTTGTTGTTTGAATTCTTATCTTCATTTTTCTCTTCTTTCTCTTCTTCTCCTTCCTATTTCATATATATACATAGTCATATATATACATATATATGAAAGAGGAAGGATATATATGTGTATATATATGTCTAGACATATATAGGGGTGTATATATGTCTAGACATATATAGGTGTGTACATACATGTCTATACATATATGTGTGTATATATGTCTACATATATGGGTGTGTATATATGTCTATACATATATGGGTGTGTATATATATGTCTATACATATATGGGTGTGTATATATATGTCTATACATATATGGGCGTATATACATATATATGTATTTGATAATTTAGTGAGAAAATAGTTGTAGATTTACACCATTTGGGACCTAAAGCTTATTCAGGGCTCTTTCTACACTCTAGTCTTGACTGTACATTGTGTGTACAGTGTGTGTCTACACTCTAGTCTTGACTGTACATGTCCTGTGGGACACCGTTCTGCAGAAAATTGTTCTGAGGCATGTTAATAAATATGCCTTTGAAAGTGTTCTAGGCTGCACATGGTGGCTCATGCCTGTAAACCTAGCACTTTGGGAGGCCAAAGTGGGAAGACTGCTTGATCCCAGGAGTTTGAGGCCAGCCTGGGCAGCATAGCCAGATCTTGTCTCTACAAACAATCATAAAAAATTTAGCAAATGTGGTGGCACATGCCTGTAGTCCCAGCTACTTGGGAGGCTGAGGCAAGAGGATCACTTGAGCCCAGGAGGATGAGGCTGCAGTGAGCCGTGGTTGTGCCACTGCACTTCAGCCTGGGTGACAAAGCAAGACCCTGTCTTAAACAAAAAAAGTGTTCTAGAAATCTTTCAAGTATATTTCTACATTTGAAAATACCGTGTTAAACAAAGCTACAGAGGTCTGCTATCCAGGACTTCTCAGCATCTTTACAATGCCAATGTGTATGTACTATGATCCATCAGAGGATATCTTTACTTGTATGACCACGGAATCCACTATTCCAAAACAGTGTTCCACAGATCGCTTCTTTGGGAAACAGCATCTTCCCTGTATACTTTGTACTTAACTGTTTCAGAGGATTTACTTACTACTTTCTGGGTCTGAGAAAGCATCTTTGAGAAAAAAAAACTTATTCAGGCTCCCTGGTAAACATTTGCTGTACTGATGCAGAAAGACGTTTAGCTCTTGAGCTAGTGTTAAATGTATTAACTATATCCTTTGTTTTAAAATTATTGTTCATTTCAATGACACACAGTTTGATTCAGATTCAAGGTCTCTCCATAAATATACACAAAGCATGAAGTTCAAGTTTCTTTCATTCACTTCCATTATCCTATCTAGTCTTCTGTTGCCTTGTCCACCCTAAATAATATTTAAGACTAGAAATTATCCCACGTAATTGGAAACATGCTTATATATTTATGCCACAGTGTTATACCCTATAGGAACTTGATACCTACTAATTAATTTATTATGCTGTCACCTTAAAATATTAGAATTCAGTCTTTGGCTTTGGTTATTCTACTGCGAACTCCAGAGTTGCGTATACAACAAACTGGTGAATGTATATTGTCTTCTTATATACATTAATTAGCAAGTCTAGACTTAATACTGATTTTGAAGGATTGTAGAGAACCAAATCAAATATTTGCAGAAATAAAGTGTCGTTTCTTAATAAATTCCTTTTTAAAAACAGTAAGGGAGGGAGGATAAAGAGAAGTTGCTTAATGGGCACAAAAATATAGTTAGAAGACAACCAGTTCTAGCATTTAATAGTAGAGAGATAATAGTTAATAATAATGTATTATACATTTCAAAGTAGCTGGAAGATAAAGAACTGGAATGTTCCAATACAGAGAAAAGATAAATGTTTGACCTGATTTTATTCCCTAATTATCCTGATTTTATCATTATATATTGTATACATGTATCAATATATCATAGGCACCCCATAAATGTGTATAACTATTATATATCAATAAAATTAATAAAGCAAAAGAGTAAGCTAAAAAGTTGTTGGGATTTGAAGTACTTCAACAAGAATGTAGGAGAATTTAACTAAAACTAAAGTAAATTGTTCTAATTTTCAGTTTGCATTGCATTGAAGAGGAGCGTTGAAGAGGACATTCAGGTGGTAAAATTATTTTATGGCTTTGAACTTTAAAAGTTAAATAAAATAAATAAAACTGAAAATAAGAATTCCTCTGTAGCTCTTCCCCTTTGACCTCCTCAAAACGAGCAGCTCTGAAATATAAGCCATGTAGCAAGAGTCAACATTCTTTTGATAATATTTTTTGGGCAGTGAGAACTTTTTAAGAGGTTGCTTTCTATGTCATTTAAATGAGGGAAGAGCCAGCAAGCACAACTGAAGATTTTAAGCTGCCAAAATTACTCCCTGATTTGTTTCCCATATTCCACATTTATTTTATTAAGTCAATGTAGCCTGTGATTTTTTCCTAACACTATGTAGTTGAATGTACAAGCCCAGCCTTTATTATGTACAGGTGGGAAATTATTTTCTTGGCCTGAGATGGAGCCCTAATTTCATCTCTGCAGAGTAACTGAAGAAATGTGTTGAGTGTTGTTAGATGCCCTAGCTGTAGCAAAACTCCTTGCCAATACCAACACACTTGGCAGACGAACTGACTCTGGAGACCTTGGATGCTTTGACCCAAGCTGAGGCTTCAGCGACAAATCGGGAAGTCGAGGGAACACAGAAGGTATCTAAGGAGCTTCAATCAGTATTTCCAAGAGAAAATACCCTGTTAGTTTTTACTGTTGCATAGCGCATCGTCACAAATTCAGCAGCTTAAAACAACACACATCTATGATCTCAGAGTTTCTGTGGGGCAGGTGTTTGGACACAGTGGAGGTGGGCTCTCTGCTCAGGGTCTCATAAGGTTGCCATCCAGACAGCACTGAAAGGGCTGCATGGCTGGGCAACGCAGAAGACTTGAAAACACTTCCCAGCATGGTGTCGGTGCAGTGAAATGATATTTCTGTGCTGGAGCTGGCTTGGCACAGCACAGCAGCTCCTGGAGTTTTCTGCCTCCAGTCTGACTTGGGAAAGACATGTTGATTCCTGAGGGCACTAAACTGTTACAGGAAGCCAGATCCAGAGGGTTTTGTTAGCGAGATGCAGGAACAACACAGAAGTAACTTGCGTGGATGGAGAGATTTTGTTGGTATCATTTTTTTCCCCCAAGAAAGCCTCATTCATACTTATAGTCCCTGAGATCTTGAATAATTGAAATTGTTTATTTTTAACAGCTTTATTGAGATACAATTCATATACCATACAATTCACACATTTAACATAGATGGTTAATTGGATTTAAGTAATTCAGAATTCTGTAACCATCTCCACAATCAGTTTTAGAGCATTTTCATCACCCCCAAAAGATACAGAACACTCCAAGCTGTCACCCCCTCAATCCCTCCAGCACCCCAGCCCTAGGAAATCACTTATCTACATTTTGTTTCTATAGATTTGCCTATCCCTGATATTTTGTATATATGGAAGCATATAATCTGTGGCTCCTTTCAGCATTACTTAGCATAATGCTTTCAACATTCATACATGCTGTAGCATGAATCAGCATCTTGTTTATATTTATTGTCTAATTATATTCCATTGTCTGGATAGACATTTCATTCATCCATTCATCATTTGATGCGCATTTGAACTGTTGCAATATTTTGATTATAATAATGCTGCCTTGAACATTCATGTACATGTTTCTGTGTGGACATACGTTTTACTTTCCTTGAGTATATTCCTAGGAGTGGCATTGCTGAGTCATATGGAAACTCTATGTAGACAGAGAATCTCTTGAAATACCAGGCTGTTTTCCAAAGAGATTGCACCATCTTTGCATTCCTATCAAGTGTATGAAGGTTCTGACTTTAACGTACTCTGCCCAACAATCATTCTCTCTCTCTCTTTTAATTATAATCATCCTAGTAGATGTGAGGTGGGATCTCACTGTGGGTTTGATTTAAATGTCTCTGACGGCTAATGATGTTGAGCATATTTTCATGAGCTTAGTGGCCATTCGTATATCTTTTTTTTTGGAGAAATGTCTACTCAGATCCTTTGCATGCTTTTTTGTGTTTACCATTTAAATTAGTTTTATTTATTAATACTTCCAATTATTATTCAGTTAAAAACAAGGCACATGAAATACATCCTCTTATTGCTCTATGAATGCATGCAGTTCATTGTGTAGATCATAAAGAATAAATTATGCAAACACCACCTTCTCTTCACTCTGTTGATTGTTTCTTTTGCTGTGTAGAATCCTTTTAGTTTAATTAAGTGCTATTTGTTTATTTCTGGTTTTGTTGCCCATGCTTTTGAGGTCTTGGGCATAAATATCTTTGCCTAGATCAGTGTCTCAAAGAGTCTTCTCTATGTTTTCTTTTAGTAGTTTTATAGTTTCAGGTCTTACAGTTAAGTCTTTAATCCATCTCAAGTTGATTTTTGTATACGGTGGGCAGTAGGGGTCATTCTTCTGCATATGGTTATCCAATTTCCCCAGCACAATTTATTGAATAGTGTGTCCTTCCTCAGTGTATGTTCTTGACAGCTTTGTTGAAGATCAATTGGCTATAAATATGTAGATTTCTTTTTCTATTGTTTTTAAATGTGCATGGCATCTTGGCTTGGTATTAAATTTGTGCATCATGCCTTATTTAAGGATTTTGTACATGTTTCTTTCATATGAAACACGTGTGAAATTTTTCTCTCAATCTTACCTTTTCTGGTATTTTGCAATGTTGAACACAGTTCATTCTTATTTCCCAATGTCTTTCTGGAGGAAAAAGAATTTCTCTTCAGGGCAATACCATTTCTAATAAAAGACTTTTCCAAGCAAGATACATGTGATATTGAAAGTTTATGACTATACAACATTTTCCTCACTTAAAATTATACCGTCTGATAGCTACTCTTCAGAGTTGTGGGTTAGTGTTGTGGCTATTTCCTATTTCTATTGAAGTTAGAATTTTATTTGCTGTTCTTATTATTGTTTGCACGTTGGATTCACAGAGAAGAATGATGTAGAAATGCTTTTAATGCACCATCTTATATTTTGACTAAAAATTATTGAGAAGAAGCTGACAGAGCTTCAACATAACTGTTAAAGTTGAAGAACTGAGTGAATATGTATTGCATATAAACCATATGACAGGTATTGTCCTATAGTTGTCTTAGTTAACCTATCAGAGACTGGTATTAATATCCACATTTTTGGCCAGGCGCGGTGGCTCATGCCTGTAATCCCAGCACTTTGGGAGGCCGAGGTGGGTGGATCACCTGAGGTCAGGAGTTTGAGACCAGTCTGACCAACATGATGAAACCCCGTCTCTTCTAAAACTACAAAAATTAGCCAGCTGTGGTGGCAGGCACCTGTAATCCCAGCTACTCACGAGGCTGAGGCAGGAGAATTGCTTGAACATGGGAGGTGGAGGTTGCAATGAGCTGAGATCTCAACATTGTACACCAGCCTGAGTGACAGAGTGAGACTCCATCTCAAAAAAAAAAAAAAAAAATCCACATTTTTACAGATGAGTAAACTGTGGTGCTGACTGAGAGGAAAAGTGTAGAAAAGAACAGAGAGACTCCTCCTACAAGACCAAAAATTATCTGCATATAGAAATGGGATGGATATTTCTGGAACTGATAGGAGACGGATGATCTGAAAGGAAAGAAAAGATTGGAGGAGCTTAGGCAGAGATCCTGGCGTGGAGAAGCCAGAACTCTATAAAGATGCCTAGGAGAGGAGAGAGTTGGTGCAGACATTTGAGGAGAGGAAGATATGCTCAAAGAGCATTTGGGGAAGAAATTGTACCATGTGTTGTATAGTGTAATTCATGTTTCATTGTCTTCAGTGTTCAGTGAAACATACATTGCTTTTCATGACTTTTTGAATGCATCTGTGTTTCAGATTTGACACTGAGATAAATCTGTCATTGAGTGATCCAATTTTTTTTCTTTTAATTTTTATTTTAGGGTCTAGGTACATGTGATGGTTTGTTTTATGGGTAAACTTGTGTCACAGGGATTTGATGTACAGATTAATTGGTCATCCAGGTACTAAGCATAGTACCGAATGGTTATTTTTTCTAATGCTCTTCTCCCTCTTCTTACCTTCCACCCTCAAGTAGACCCCAGTGTGTGTTTTTCCCGTTTCTGTGTCCAAGTGTTCTCATCATTTAGCTCCCACTTGTAAGTGAGAAGATGTGGTATTTGGTTTTCTGTCCCTGTGTTAGTTTGCTAAGGATAATGGCCTCCAGCTCCATCTATGTCCCTGCAAAGGACATGCTCTCATTCTTTTTTAAGGCTGCATAGTATTCTGTGGTGTATATGTACTACATTTTCTTAATCCAGTCTACTGATGGACATTTAGATTCATGTCTTTGCTATAGTGAATAGTGCTACAATGCACACATAAGCATGCATGTGTCTTTATGACAGAAAAATTTATATACCTTTGGGCATATACCCAATAATGGGATTGCTGGGTTGAATAGTTATTCTGTTTTGAGCTCTGTGAGGAATTGCCACACTGCTTTCCACGCTGGCTGAACTAATGCATGCTCCCACCAGCAGTGTATACATGTTCCCTTTCCTCCGCAGCCTTGCCAACATGTGTTATTTTTTGATTTTTTAAAAATGGCCATTCTGACTGGTGTGAGATGGTATCTTACTGTGGTTTTGACTTGTATTTCTCTAATGACTAATAATGTTGAGTATTATTTCATATGCTTGCTGGCCACATATATGTCTCCTTTTGAAAAGGTCATGTGAGTGGGCCAAATTTTTAAAATCTGGGTTATGGTATCAATGTCTACCTTAAAAAATAATGATTGTTTTTGTATTTCCCAGAGGTTCCGTGATTTCTTTAAGACAGGAGAAAGGCTTTAATATACCTCCCACAATACTTAACTTTTCCTATAGGCACTCTTTGAAATGTAAGCGTTAATATTTACAATAACGTTAAGAAGGGCCAAAAATTGGCCAGGCGCGGTGGCTCACGCCTGTAATCCCAGCACTTTGGGAGGCCGAGGCGGGCGGATCACGAGGTCAGGAGATCGAGACCATCCCGGCTAAAACGGTGAAACCCTGTCTCTACTAAAAATACAAAAAATTAGCCGGGTGTAGTGGCGGGCGCCTGTAGTCCCAGCTACTTGGGAGGCTGAGGCAGGAGAATGGCGTGAACCCGGGAGGCGGAGCTTGCAGTGAGCCGAGATCCCGCCACTGCACTCCAGCCTGGGCGACAGAGCGAGACTCCGTCTCAAAAAAAAAAAAAAAAAAAAAAAAGAAGGGCCAAAAATTTAGTTAGCACAGATTTAAGCTTGCTAATAAATTCAAGAGAAACCCATAATTTAATCTAGTATTGAGTTGTAAAAATAAAAGTTTTAAATTCTCCACATTAAAAAATCATCTTCTAATTAATATTTTAGTGTGCCTTTTAAGTGACTGTTTTTCTGACAAAGTAATACGTTTATTGCAGAAAATCTGGGTAACACAAAAATGTGTAAAAAAGAAAATTAAAATCACCCATAATCTTGTCATCCAGTAAGTATGTTGTGGCCTATTGTTTCACACATGTGTGTGTGTATATGTATATATATATATGTGTATATATATATCTATTTTTCTGTATGTGTGTACATTGTTTTAAAAATCTCTTTTTAATCTCCACATTTCAAGTATACTTCTAGAGCATGATTTTAAATGTTTTCATAGCTATAGTTACTTTTAGATAATTTCAGATAATTCTTTATAATTTCTCGTTCATTTAATCAATTTCTTATTTTATAAATAATAATGAAATGAATATCCTTGAATGTATACATTTCCCTCTAGCTCAATTTATTTCATTAGGATAACTTCTTAGAAGAGTAATCTTTGGGAAAAATGTTAACAATTTTTCAATAACCAAATTTTTATGTGAAGGGTGATAGGTACACATTTTTTAAAAAACCAAAGAGTGCAAAAAATAGAGAAAACCTAAGTTTTTTTCTTTATATCTTCCAAACTCCTGGCCACCTTTCCTAATCCCAAAATCAAACTCCATTACTCCATTTGTGCATGCATAAAATTTGCACCTCCCTCTCTCTTACAAGTCCTTTTACAGAGGTAGATTACGCATGTACTCCGTTCTACAGTTTAATACTTTCCAATGTATCCTGGAGTATACTCATTATCAGCACGTGCAAACATACTGCCTTTAAAGAATAGATCACGGTGTTCTATTATATATACTACAATTCCTTTGACCTGTTTACTTCTATATGAATTCCTTACCATCCTCCCAGTCTTTTGCTATTCTGAAGATACTACAAGGAATGGTCTTCACCGTAGTTTTTGTGAATAGGACCAACTATATATGAATGTTCTTTAGTATAATTTTGGATACAGACACATGCATCTATCCATATCTGCATCCTCACCTCCTCTCTTTGCTTTCATGCTTAGAAACTGTAATAAACATTTGTCATTTCTTAGCTTCTGTGTCCATTTCCACTTCACACAGCATCCCAGCTTTCTTCCGGAAAAGTTTTTCGCCAGGTGCTGTGCAGCCTTAATGTGATAATACATTCAAGTGTCAGCACTCACATAACAGGATCCAAACATGTCCTTGGAGATTCTTCTGTTAGATTCTTCCTCTAACGGACTGAGTTCTGCCATGAGAAAGCATATATATGATCTCCACTTGACTAGTCAGATTCCTGGGACTTTTAAATCTTGAGCTGTGGACACTAGAAACAAAACTCAATGTTTAGAGTTCTTTCAGACTTCTCAAGTGGAGTCTGGGTAGGACTGCCAAACAGTGTCTTCTTGGGAGACCTTTTGTCATGACCTGATCTTGTCTGCCTCTACCTGGTCCTTCGGCCCTTCCTTCCAACCAGAGAAACTCCCAGAGACTCTTCTTCTGAAAACTTCTCTTCTTCCCTTTCCTTGAGTTAGCCAGATTCGGCTTCTGTTGCAACCAAATAAATCTAGTGAATACAAAGAGTATCCTTCCATTTGCTCGTAGTTGACTTATCCTTTCTCTTATTTATGTGTCTTTACTATTTGCTTTGTTTTAAAACATAGAGAATTCTCTAAAAATTCTAAGCAAGGATAAATTAATAACCATTTAATTATTTTCAAAAAAAAATTAGCTCAATGTTACTTTTATCTCACTATGCAAGTATCTCATGGCAGCACTGTTTCCTCTCTGATGGGTATAATTCTGTGTAAGTCCCGGGGCTCTGCTTACAGACACAGGGACCTCCAGGCTATCAAAGGAATTTCCATTGGTGTGATCCTCACAGGGACTGCCACCATCACAGTCAGATGAAACTCCTCCAAATCAAAGGATGTTACTTACATTCCTCCAGAATGTCCTGGAAGAAGCTCATTTCCTTAAAGTACTGCTCTGATTTCTCTTGTTGAGCAGAGGACTGTATTCGAGCCCTGGGTAAGGTCTCACATTAATCTGGCCCAAATGGCTTTAAATCTGTCAGTTATTCCTCAACCTTTCTCTGAGGCAGATAGTCCTCTTCTCTTGCTTCCATTGTAAATGTAGGGATTCCCCCTCATCTTATAGAACTTTATCATTTCAACAGATACCTGGTAGTTTAATATTCTTAAAGGGATAAGAAGTGGATTTTATCATCCACATATTATAGAGAAGGAAATGGTATTGAAAAATTATCACTGGGATTAGTTCCATTTTAATTAGTGACAAAGCCAGGAATAGAAGTTAGGTGTTGTATGGTTCCTTTTCATGTGTCATTAACTCTATCTTGTTTCTCATATAAACCCATCTAGAGGCAAAAATTGGTTGCTGAGATTTTTCAATCTTGTTTTTTTTAAAATGCTCATGACTAATTTCTCACTATATGTAAAAAATCATATATAATAACTTCCAAGGGAAAAGTGATTCTATATTATGACAAGAGCTCTGAGAGTCAACTACTCTGTAGAAAACAAATAAATGAATGAATACCAGTGCTCTGGATCTCCTTTTGGAGGAGAAAGTTTTAACCCACGTATTATTCTTACTTCAACTTCTGTCTCCCAACCCTTCTCAGCTTCTGGATTTGTAAGAAAATAATAATAAATGACATCTTACATGTCTTTAGAGTTTTGTTGTTGTTGTTGTTTTTGAGATGGACTCTCACTCTGTTGCCCAGGCTGGAGTACAATGGTGTGATCTCAGCTCACTGCAACCTCCACCTCCCGGGTTCAAGTGATTCTCCTGCCTCAGCCTTCTGAGTAGCCGGGATTACAGACACCCACCACCACACCTGACTAGTTTTTGTATTTTTTTTTTTAGTCAAAACAAGGTTTCACCATGTTGGCCAGGCTGGTCTCGAACTCTTGACCTCAAGTGACCCACCTGCCCCGGGCCTCCCAAAGTGCTGGGATTACAGGCATGAGCCACTGTGCTTGGCTATGTGTTTAGATTTAGTGCAGCACTTTCCTATACCTCTCTTACTGAATTCTTACAATACCAGATGGCAGGTATTTATCCCACTTTAATAGATAAGGAAACAGAACCTATGAAAAGATAATACCCAAGATCACACATCAACAAATGGATGTGCTGGACTTAATGGTTTCCTGGTGCCATGCTACATTAGTTATTTTATTTTGTTTCATTTTGGTTGTCCGGTGTTTGGAGGTAGTATTTATTTGTATACTTGGGGTTGTTTGATGAAAATGGAAAGGTCGTTAATAGCTTGACAGATATAAGAAAGCATATTACCATCTCCCATATGTATGTAGTTTTGGAAGAGTTGTACCTACTTTTTAAAATATTTCTCTAAAATTTAATATGACCTCAAATTCTTTTGGGGGAGGTATGTTTTCTCAGGGAAGGATCAGAGTTTTTGCCCCGATGATGTCCTTGTTCCCTGAAGTATTTCTAGGCTTCTTCTTTCCACTCTAACCATTCCATCGACCAGCATAAACAACCACGATGCTTTGCTTTGGTTTTTGCCCCTTGTTTGGTTTCTTAGATAAGAGGCTGTTGCCTGGCTCCCCATCTTTCTAAGTCTTATGAGCTGAAATCAGGCCTTAGTATAGTCTCTTGCACACATTAGGTGCTCTAAAAATGTTCCTGGTCTTTTACAAGCTACTTAGTAAATACTTGTTGAATGGATAAAAGTTTAATTTTACTTTAAACTATGAGGATACAGGGCCTATTTATGTTAGAAGCACGAAAGTCACTTGATTGGCTTTCCTTTGGTTCTTATTGCTGTGTGTGTGTGTGTGTGTGTGTGTGTGTGTGTGTGTGTGTTGCCCCTAAGTCTGAGAAACAGGTTCTAAAAAAGTTGCCCTTCCCTTCCATTTTCTTAGCATGTAGCAATTTTTAAAATTCATGTATTTATTTGAAGCACACTTCAATTTCATGTAGATGTAGATTTGTAACAGAAAAAAAGATTGGTGAAATTATAGAAATAATTTAAAACTATGCAGAACAGCATAGGGGTTTAACATGCTTCACTATGATACAAAATTAACTATATCCACTGAGAGATGGTTGGCTGATAAATTATTAGTATTTGTTTACAACACTCATTCTTGAATTTCAAAGCTTTCAAAACTAAAACTAATTCTATGTGCAAAAACCTCCAGAAGAAGATGCAAAAGTAAAGAATTAAAGAATTTTACTCTAATATCAAAATTACACTTATATTATGCTAGTATGATAAAAAAAATTAGGCACTATAACATTTTGGGATGTAAAAGGATGGATATTCTTTAAAAGGTTTGGGTTTTAATATTAGCTATATTGTTTTCCAATTAATAGTGGAAACACATTGATATATTTTCCATTAGCATAAAGTTACAAGTATTTCCTCACTAATAATAATAAATGGTAGCATTTAGCATATAAATGGTGCAAACTCTTAAATTACCTTTACTTTTGCTATATGAGTGCAGCTGAGGAGAATTTAATGCATTTTTTACATGGTATAATTTTATTTTGCTCATACAATGTGAGGTGAGTAATAATGATATTCGAATATTAAGTGCAAAATATACATATTGATGAATAATAGCCATGTTTTTCAGACCTCCTTGCCAAGTCATATTAAAATGACAAATAATTGCAATTGCTTAACAGAGAAATGGTGCAGAATCTGTAGTCAAAAGCACATTAGGGACCAAGAGTATCCATTTGTTATCCTTTGTCAGGAAAACATGGCTCCTAATGAAAGTGAATGTAGAAATACTGATTGAGGACCGCGACACTAAACCTTTTTCTTGACAAGAGTCATGATGTGGGTATTAATAAGAGGATTGAAAGGTGAAGTCAAAGCTTTGATTCTTAAAATGTGTATAACCTGGATTTGTTTTTTGTTTGATTTCTTTAAAATTAAGACCTGTTAATTTTGAGGGATGGGGGGGATCATGGCTGTGGGGGAAGAAAGTACAGAATAAAACGTGGTAGAGACATCCCAGTGATATTCCACAATCGGTGTGTTCAAGCAGGATTGCTCAGGTAACTTGGGCAAATGTTATTTAAAATCTGGACAGTTCTCAAATCAGAATCTGAATACCTCTTAAAAAAGAAAAAAAAATCTCTGCTATTTCTCCTCTCCTCCTGTTGAACATTCTCTTCCCTCTTAGATGGTCTATCTTTTTGAAAGTTATGGTCTCTCTATGCAAAATATTGCTGTAAGAAGAATTTTTTGACCAGGAAAATGAGTAACCTGTTACAAGGAAACAAGAAAACATAATTCCAGTTCAGGGATGCCTCTGTACAATTTTCAGAAATTATGATGACTTTGTTATAAGCCCAGGCATATACAGTTTCATAGCATTTTGTACCCACTGATTCCTGTTCCAACAAGATTTAAGATTAGTGGTTCCTTCTGAAATGGTGTAAACCTGCATGTATATTTCTATGAACATATAGAAAAATTATGTTCTAGTTTCTAGCAATTTATTGAAGATTTAGGTATATAATATCATGGAGCAAGAACTGTGGTAGGCATTAGGAATACCATTGTTCACAATTCAGGGGGGAGAAAAAAAAGGAAACCATACTGTCACTAATTGAACACATTGAATACCAGGAACCTTGCCGAGTTTCACATAGATTATCTCATTTAATACTCACAACAGCCATCTGCTATAGACACATTATTTTACAGATAGGAACATAAGACACAGGGAGATTTAGTGCATTGCCCAAGATCGTACAGTTAGTAAATGCTGACGTCAGGTTTTGAATCCAGATTCCAGACTGTGCTCTTAATTGTGATATTTTACTACACAATATAATACAGCTAGAATATAAGCACACGGGAGCTACAAGGGCATGAAGGAAGTTGTGTCTAATTGCCAGGGATATGAGGTAGGAGCTGAGAAGCAGGCTATAGAATAGAGAGAGGTACTCAGCAAAGGAAAACTTGTAAGGGGTTCTAAGTATCAAGTGGCTCACCATGTTAAATACCATCAGTAACTGTAATAGAGCATGACATTTTAGTTTTTCCCTTCATATTTGTTTTTATTTTAGTTGCTCTCTGCTTCTTTCTATATGCTCACTAAGTGGGCGAAATAAAAATTGGTGTTGGGGGAAGTAGGATGGAAGATAAGATTAGACAATACAAATTCACAGTTTTTATTCCAAACTAAGTGAGAAAATATTCTTTATATTCCCCAAGTTAATAAAGGTACTTCATAAAGTAGAATATATTGCAGCTTATTGATAGAAAAATATAATCTAGGATCAGCAAAAAATTGAATAAATCGAACCATTCTTGAACTATTCAACTTAAAAGTGTGTGTATGTATGTGTGTGTGCGTATGTGTATATGTGTGTGTACATATATATGTACACGTTATATATACACGCACATTAAAGCCTCACTTATCCTGCTGTCTTAGTCCATTTGTGTTGCTAAAACAAATTTTTAAAAGAACAGAAATTCTGGAGGCTAAGAAGAACAAGATTAAGGTACTGGCAACTGGTGAGTGCCTTCTTGTTGTGTCCTTACATAGCAAAAGCTTGAAGGGCAAAGAAGACAATATCCCTCCATCAAGCTCTTTTATTAGAGCATTAATCCATTCATGAGTAGAGCCCTCCTGACCTAACCTTTCAAAACATTCCATCTATCAACACTCTTGCATTAGGGATTAAGTTTCCAACACATGAAATTTGGGGAACACATATAGACCATACCACCTAAGTACTTTAAAGCCTCACTTATCTTCAGTTACCTGACAACCTCAATTATCTTTGATAGAGCCAAGAATCAGAAAGTGAGTAAATAAGACTTTGAGTACAATACCCTAAATAATTTAATTCCTTCAATAAAATATGTGAGCCCCTTTGTGCTCATACACGATTGTGATCAAGACTGACTTAGCCTGACCCAGAGCTTTTGTACTAAAGTTAGGATACTTTCCTTATGGAGGAAGTCCTTGGGTTTTTCACTTAGGACAAACTGTCTCTTATATATAACAGTATTTTGTTTTAAAATTTTGCATCTGCTTTCCCAAGGGATATCGGTTTGTGATGTCTTTGTAATGTCTTTGGTTTCAGTGTCAGGGTAATAACCGCTTTATAATATTAGTTAGGAAACGTTCTCTATTCTACTTTTTGGAAGAGTTTGTGAAGAGTTGCTATGAATTGTTTCATGTTTGGTAGCATTCAGCAGTAAGCCATCTGGCCATGAGATTTTCTTAGTGGGAAGTTTCACATTCATAATTCAATCTCTTTACTTGTTATAGATCTATTCAGATTTTCTATTTCTTCTAGAGTCAGTTTCAGTAGTTTATGTCTTTCTAGGATTTTTTCATTCATCTACATTATAAAATTTAATGACAAAGTTGTTTATGGCATTTTAAATAATCATTTATATTTCTGTAAGTTTAACTAAGGGTTTGTAATTTTTACTGATCTTTATAAAGAACCAACTTTTGGTTTTGTTAATTTTCTTTATTGCTTTTTGATTTATTATTTCATTTATTTCTGCTGTATTCATTAGCTTATTTTAAAATAATTTTTGGTATACAATTAAGATATGCAATGTGATGTTATAATATAGATAGTAAAATCATTACAATTGTGTAGCAAATTAACATATCCATCATCTCACATAGTTACCTGTTTTGTTTTTACAGCAAAAGCAGCAAAAATCTACTCATTTTGCATGAACCCCATATGCAGTAAAATTTATTACTTATGGTCCTCATTAGACCTCTAGATTTGATCATCCTACATATCTGCTATTTTGTATTCTTTTACCTTCATCTCCCCATTGCCTCTTACCTACCTCCTTCCCTCCCATTCCTGGTAACACCTGTTTTCTATCTCCCTGTATTAAATTGTTTTCTTTTAGATTCCACATGTAAGTGAGATCATGCAATATTTTTCTTTCTGTAGCTGGCTTATTTCACTTAGCATAATGTCAACTCATCTCATTCATGTTCCGGCAAATGCAAGACTTAGTTCTTTTTTAGAGTTGAATGATTTATTGTCTTATTTCTTTTGTTTGTTTTGGGTTTAGTTTAATTTTTAAGTTGGAAGGCTAGATTATTATTTGAGATGTTTCTCATTTTTTATTACATGCAGTGACAGCATAAATTTCTCTCTAGTTACTGCTTTAGCTATGGATGCATAGGTTTTGGTTTGTTGCATCTTCATTTCATTTATCTGAAGGTGTTTTCTAATTTTCATTGTGATTTATTCTTTGATCCATTGGTTATTAAAGAGCATTGTTTAAGTCCCACATATTTGTGAATTCCCCAAATTTCCTGCTGTTATTGATTTCTAATTTCATTTCTTTATTGTTGTGGAATATATATGATTTCAATCCTTATATATTTAATGAGGCTTATTTTGTGGACTAACTTAGAGTTAATCCTAGAGAAAGTTCCATGGACACTTTAGGAAAATGTGCATTCTTTTGTTGTTAGGTGGTGACATCTGTTACATCGAGTTGGTATATAGTTTTGTAAAATCCTAGAAAGTTTGTTCATACATGCAACAGCTGATGTTGGGTTTTATTGTATTTTCTACCAACTGGTAACTTTTATAAATTACATATTTTTAAAATGATTTATTTTATAATTGACACAGATTATCTTCTCAGGTATGCTATTTCTCGAAGTCTTAAGACTATTTTTTTTTTTCTTTGAGACAGATTTTCACTCTATCACCCAGGCTGTAGTGCAGTGGTGTGATCTCGGCTCACTGCAACCACCACCTCTCAGGTTCAAGCAATTCTCCTGCCTCAGCCTCCCTAGTAGCTGGGATTACAGGTGCCCACCACCATGCCTGGCTCATTTTTGTATTTTTAGTAGAGATGGAGTTTCACCATGTTGGCCAGTCTGGTCTCAAACTCCTGATCTCAAGTGATCCACCCATCTTGGCCTCCCAAAGTGCTGGGATTACAGGTGTGAGCCACTGCACCTGGCCAAGACTAATATATTAAATCAAGCCAAAAATCAATTAAAACTACATTTGTCTTTTAATAAACTGAAACATATACATACTAGCAAGTTCTACATTAGAATATTTACACCAGGGAGAAGTAAATCTTTTCTTCCTCCAGCCTGAAGGGGTTTCTACACGTCATTTTTTGTGCCAGGAATAACATTCGTTTCCTTCCAGGGACATACTCACCTTCTAGAGTATGTCCATATTGTGGTTCCAGAAAGACAAATCTTTCATTGATATATTGTGATCTGGGCTTTTCATCCTCATTTTTGGAGTGGGTTATGCACGGTGGGAGGGATAAGAAAACCACAATGTAAAGTAGCGTATGTTACATAACGCAGGGACGCTTTTATAGTTTTTGCCTAAACTATGATGCATAGTTTGGTTATAGATGAACTCAGAACCACTTTTCTTGTAAAATATGAAGGACTCATATACTAAGCAGAGAAAGCTTGGGATTCTAGTTCTGGCTATACAGTGATTTATTTGTGTGATCTTTGTTTTTATTTTATTTTTGGAGACGGGGTCTCGCTCAGCTGCAGTGCAGTGGTAAAATCATAGCTCACTGCAGCCTTGACCTCCAGGGATCGCACCATCTTCCTGCCTCAGCCCCCTAAGTAGCCAGAACTGCAGGTGCTCACCACCACACCAGGCCATTTTTTAATTTTTTTGTAGAGACAGGGTCTCCATTTGTTGCCCAGGCTGGTCTCAAACTTCTGGACTCAAGTGAGTCTACTGCTTTGGCCTCCCAAAGTGCTGGGATTATACGTGTGAGCCACCATGCCCAGCCTTATTTGTGTGATCTTTGAAAAAATCATCTTATTTTTGTCTGCCTTATTTCATTTTACTATCAAAAGGAAGAGGGTAGACAAGAGTACTTAGAGGCTTCCTTTCAATTTTTACATTTTTGTACTACATTTAAATGTGGAAGAATCACTCCCAACAAAAATGGGTAATTAAAACCTCAGAGTTAGAGTGAGTATGAGGAATTGTTTTGCAAATGAAGGAAATAATGGAGAATTTAGATTTTTTTCCCAGTATATAAAGACATCTAAATCCTGTTGTATGAAGGATAAACTCATAGAATCGGATGTAGCACTACACTTTTGTTTCTGGGACCACCTAAAACTAACCCATTCTAACCAGGTGGCTGCCTAATCTCCATCTGTATCCTTAGAGATCTCATGATTTCTTTAGATGATGTGTTAAAAAACATGCTAGGCTTTTGGCTTCACCATTATGACCTGTTCCTTATATAAGCAAGAATTATTAAACGTGTGGTTAGCAAATGCTTCACAAAATCAAGTTGCTTGCTTCTTTGTATCATGCTTTTCTAGAAAAGTGAAACTTTGAAGGAAATACCCAAGAAACAAGAATATTGCCTCAATATTGTTTTTAAAAAGTCAGAAAGCGTACCGTCGATAGGAATAATACTAGGCTTTGATTAAATAGTCAACTCCTTAAGGATGTTCTAAGTCTACTCACATTAAATCCAGTCATTTATACTTTTTTCCCTCTACATCTATACAATTTGACAGTGATATTTGATGTACCTAATAAGCTTCTGCAAGACCTTAAATCACCATATGGAACTCTACTAGCCAATGGTTAGTATGGGCCTGCTAACCAATACACTGACCACACTAAAACAAAAGCCGTCTTATGTTGGAAACATTTTGAAAGGTAAAGACTGAAATAAAAAGGTCTTTCTTGTAATTGTTCTAAAAATGCAACTAACAGGAAATACATTATTTGCTGAGAATTCTACTGAATAATAATTCTGCATATTATTAACTGAGAATAATGCTACTATTTCTCCCTAGCGTCTTCCAATGCATTGGAGTTAAAGTCGTCAGGCCATCAATACTCTCCTATTCCTTCTCCCCTGTGTACTACAATCTTTTTTTACTTCCCTGTCATTTGCTATCCCCTGTGTGTCTCTAAACCAACTGCTTGAGTACCCTTGCCAATTTCTTAAGTACACACACTTATGCAAGTTGTAAAATGAGTATCATCAAGCCCTCATTTGGGATCATCTGATATATACGTCCCCTTGTGGCGCTAAGCAGCAAAAAGATCCCTCCGAGAAAATCTCCAAAGAAAAAGAAAACCTCCCAAGGCATAAACTTAACCAATCACACAAACAAGTACAAAAGAACAGAGAGAGCAATTAATTTTTGACCCATGACAACCTACTTATTTCTTCACACATAGAAGTTATTACCCTTTTCTAAGCAACATTCCTACTCAAGTAATTATTGGCCATAAAATTATCCATAAAAGCTGTTGAGGAATCTGAATAATTAAAACTGCCTTTGATCATAGCTGGATTAAATACTCAAAGGTGATATGTTAATATTTTTCTAACTTTGTGTTTGTCTTCAACTTGAAAAACTAGCCTAAAATGAACTTTTTGAAAGTGATATAATTAAATGACATTTATATTCTTAGTGGAATTGTTTTATTTTTAAATAATGGGTGTTTAAACATAATTAGGTGCTTTCATATAATGCATACATTAATTTTTATATTACAGTAAAACATGTCCTTAAATGTTTCTTTCTTTTGTCCCATTCTAATCTTGTCTTTTCTCCACTTTAATAGAAAAATCATGCAAGGAGGCCATGCAGACAAATGTACAGCAGTCCTGTTAGCATTTAATCTCTGCTTAAATAAATGCAAATATTGCTGCTGATGGTATTGAAGCCTTGTCCAGTAATCATCTGGGGAGCTCGCCCATTCATTTTTCAAGCTGTGTCCATTACAATCAGTCACTGAAGATTGTGATCTAGGATATTCGTTCTTCACGAAAACAATGAAATTAAACTACAGGGCACTGGAAAATTGCTTTCATATTCAAGCTGGGCTACACATATACAGACACCTTGTTGATGATTTTACTGCCTCGAAGAAAATGTATTGCTACTGCCACAAGCCTGTCTTTTGGCACTTTATCACTTACAAGTGATGATAAAATTGCGACAATGAGACTTCTTTTTAATCTCATAGGTCACTGCTGGTAGTCTGGACTCTCCACCCTTTTGTCCTCTCATTTAGGGTAGATAAGGTGGAAAATTCCCTTTAGCTGTCTCTAAATTTCATTTAAACAATAGCAAAAACTGACTTTGTCTTCTGATTTTCAAGTCCCTAGATCTTTTAATGTATCAGTTTTATTTCCTCATATTTTAAAATTAATTTTTAGAAAGAGTTCTGAGTCTATTTGAAATTGTTTTTATAAAACTAAATTACTAGATGTATTCTGAAGGGTTCAAATACTTTTATGAATCATAAATATGAGAATGCTGACTATAAAGCGATTTTTGTTGCTGAGTTTCTTTTCATTATTATAACCATCAGTTTTTACTAACTACTCAGATAAGGATATTTAGACAGATATTCAATCTGGCAACATACAACTGCCAAAAAATCGTATTTCTGAAAAAGTTTCTCGAATCCTTGAGCCCTTATATAACAAACAGTGAAGCGAATAATAAAATACATATTTAAAGCTCCTATTTTTGAGGGTTTTTTTTTTCTCTTTGATTTGTGAACTTTTTCACAGGTTTTCTTCGGGGAATCCTTCTCTAAAGCCTCGGATGCATAGTGCCATGCTCTATTTCTCTGACACGGATTTTGTGTGTTATTTTAACAATCTGTCAGCAATAAAGGAAGCCTTTGTTGCTTTCATAATACACTACGTCTTACAGAAGAATGTTTTATATTATATAAATGAGGAGTAATGGACTCTCAAGGTAGCATTTTATTTCCACTAAAGTATCAAGGGTGCAATTCAGAATGTCTTCTCTCAAAAGGTTCCAAATAAACAGTTTACAAATGTATTTTTATTTCTGATTTAAATATGCACTCCACCTAGCTAGCTTCATTTTACAGGTATATAAACCATCAAAAAAGGAAAGTTAGCATGTTTTTACGTGTTTATTTAGTCAGGATACATTTTTTAGATAGCAAAAACAGGCTGGGGATGAAGTCTCACTCAAATGTTATTAGTGGCCATTTTCTTCTCTTTTTCTTTTTTTTTTTTTGAGACGGAGTCTCGCTCTGTCACCCAGGCTGGAGTGCAGTGGCACGATCTGGGCTCACTGCAAGCTCTGCCTCCCGGGTTCACACCATTCTCCTGCCTCAGCCTCCCGAGTAGCTGGGACTACCGGCGCCCACCACCACGCCCAGCTAATTTTTTGTATTTTTAGTAGAGACGGGGTTTCACCGTGTTAGCCAGGATGGTCTCGATCTCCCGACCTCGTGATCTGCCCGCCTCGGCCTAGTGGCCATTTTTATTTATGGTGAACCTACTGTCTGTCAGGGACTGTGCTGGGTGCTGTATAATATCTCTAGTACTGCCGTTATGTCTTATTATACCCATTTAAAAAATGAGAAAAGTGATGCATGGGAAGTTTGTTCCCAGGTAGTGAAAGACTGAGCCAGGATTCAAGTAGTGCTTTATTCACCACTAAAAATGATTTGGCTGGGCGCAGGGTGTCACACCTGTAATCTCAGCACTTTAGGGGGCTGAGGTGGGCAGATCACAAGGTCAAGAGATTGAGACTAACCTGGCCAACATGGTGAAATCCCGTCTCTACTAAAAATACAAAAAATTTAGCGGGGCATGGTGGCGCACACCTGTAGTCCCAGATACACAGGAGGCTGAGGCAGGAGAATTACTTGAACCCAGGAGATGGAGGTTGCAGTGAGCCGAGATTGCAGCACTGCACTCCAGCCTGGCGATAGAGGGAGACTCTGTCTTCAAAAAAAAAAAAAAAAAAAAAAATCCGAGCAAACCATATTTTACTTTCTATACTTTCTATAGTAATCAAACAACAGTTTGACAAATGAGCAAAACTAACAAAAACTCAAAGGGACACTGATGTTGGGTTTTCATCCTTTTGCAACCCTGTGTAGGACTGCCATGGGCTGTCAGTCTCTAGATCTACAACTCAGCACCGTGTCCACAGGACCCATTTAGATTATTACGCATGAGATTATTTTCTAAGCATGTGTCCTGATGAGTGAACTTTTTGCGGGGAGGAGGGTTTGTTGGAAGAGGCAGTTAAACCTACTTGATTTTCTTTCTCATTAGCTTTTATTTCAGCTTGAGTGCAGGGCTTACAGCTTATGTAGTTGTCTATGCAGGCGTGTTTTCTCACACTGTGATTCTATATACTTGCATTCAGAGAATGATACCCACTCTTTGCTTCTTATCATTTATGGCTCTGTGCAATCCTTTGTGGACTGACTTGCAGACTCAAATATAAAAGCAGCAAGGAGTTTACTCATCAAGTTACTCCCGTTTTCTTTCTCGCTAACGTCACCATGAAGTCTTGTATGATCAGTTGGAAAAAAGAAAATCACTTCCTACTGGGGTGACTCTATATAAAAATACAGCTCTCTGGAAGCCATTGTTCTAAGTGAATTAACACAGGAACAGAAAACCCAATACTGCATGTTCTCATTTATAAGTGAGAGCTAAACATTGAGTACACATGGACACAAAGAAGGAAACAGTAGACACTGGGGGTGGAGGGAGGGATGTGGGTTAGGACTGAAAAACTATAATACCTATCAGATACTATGCTCATTACCTGGGTGACAAAATTATCTGTACACCAAACTTCCATGACACGCAATTTATACTCATGTAACAAACCTGTGCATGTATGCCGTATGAGTCTGTTCCCATGCTGCTCATAAAGGCATACCTGAGACTGGGTAATTTACAAAGGAAGAGGTTTAATGGACTCACATTTCCACTTGGCTGGGGAGGCCTCACAATCACGGCAGAAGGTGAAAGGCACGTCTTACATGGTGGCAGGCAAGAGACAGAGCTTTTGCAGGGAAACTCCTCCTGATAAAACCATCAGGTCTCATGAGGCTCATTCACTATCATGAGAAGAGCATGAGAAAGATCTGCCCTTATGATTCAATTACCTCCCACTGGGTCCCTTCCATGACACGTGTGAATGGTGGGAGCTACAATTCAAGATGAGATTTGAGTGGGGACACAGCCAAACCATATCATACCCCATTGAACCTGAAATAAAAGTATAAAAGTTAGAAAGAAAAAAAAATGCAGCTCCCGTAAGCACAGAGATAAATAAGACAAGCAGGTGCCCTCTTGGCCTCTCTGTAGGCTTGTTTTTGTTAAACGTGATTGTATTTGTAAATTATTTCTTCAGTGATGAGGAATGACCATGATGATTTGATATCACTTCGCCTAGTGCCTAGAACTGCACCCTGAATGAGAAATCATGAAAATGCATTTACTAATATTTATGAAGGGAGAAGATGACCAGAACCTCAACCTCAGTTGATGTCTGTTTACACATACAGGTTGCAGGTCCAGTTTTATTCTGGAAAGAACAACTTCAATACTGCCTCAGAATTTTACCTCCCCCACATTGCCTGAAAATCCATAAAAGTCCATGTAAATCCTAAATAATTTTATTTCTGCTTCAAACTAAAAGTCTTATTTTTGCTTCTAAAAGCTTTTTTTGGAGTTTTCTCCATAATTATAAAAAATGTCTGTATGTGTGACCAGAAATTCTTTAATGGTGAATGCTTAAAGATTCTAAAAGAGGAGTAATTGGGTCATTTGTAAAAATATCACAGCCTATGCCTTACTACAGAATGTTTTTCCCTTATGCAAATGGAGAAAGACTCTTAGGATTTTCTTAAGAAAACGATTAGTTTCTTGAAGAAATATAGCAAAAGCTTTTAAATCAGAATCTTCTTGCTGAAGCTTTGCTTGAAGAGAAATTATCGTTATAGTGGGGGTTACAGGAGAAGGCTGTACTCAGAAGCACAGGTGGTGGCACAGCTTAGTAATTTCACTAGAAAGTAAGGTTTGTTTCTTTAACCTTGCAGGTCTGGAATCTGGATTTCTTTAGTAAAATCAAAGAAGATTTGATGGATAATGAACTTATATGAGACTGATACATAAGTCAGAAAGTCAATTTATTAATTTTAATGTGGGAATTTAAAATTCTAGTGCCTGGGATGCATCTATTTCCTATTGAGGTCATCTTTTATCCCCTATCAAGATTCCTGGGAAGCCAGGCAGAAGTCTCCTTAGTGAGCACGGATTTGTGCAAACCTTCAGGCATGTTTCATGGTGAAAGTTTATGGTAATACACATTCTCTACAGAAGAGATAAGTTCTCTTATATAGGAATACTTGCACATGTCAGATTCAGCCTCTTTCTCACCTATACTATGCTAGACAAAAAGTTAACATTTTTATTTTCCAGATACACTTTTTCCATGTAAGCCAGCCTCATTAGTTGGACATTGGTTATTTACATATGTGTTTAGAATAGACAAAGTTGAAAGTCCCATTCAATTTCTAATGGAACTGGAAACTAGAACTTCAATGAAAAAGAGTTTTATTTAGGTATAACTGACTTACAATAAACTGTACTTATTTAAAATATACAATCTGGTAAGTTTTGACATATGATACACTCATGAAACCTCTACCATGATCAAGACAGTAAACACACCCCTCATCCTCCAAGTGAGGCCTCTTTTTTCCCTGCCACCCTTCCCTGCCACGCCTCACTTCACAGGAGACCGCTAGTGTGCTTTCTATCACTGTAGGTGAGTTTGCATTTTCTAGAGTTTTATATAAATGAAATCATATGGTATGCATTTTTTTGTCTGGCTTTTTTTCACTTGGCATAATTATTGTGAGGTTCATCCATCTTGTTGCAAGTATCAAAAGTTCATTCTTTATATCACTGAGTAGTATTCCATTATATGGGTGTACCACAATTTGCTATTCTTCACTTATGGATATATGTTGGGCTGTTCCCAATTTTTGGCTATTACAAATACAGCTGCTATGAACATTGGGTACAAGTCATTTCTGAGGACATGTGCTTTCTTTCCTCTTGGGTAAAAATACCTAGGAGTAGAATGTCTAGATCATTAAACATTGTAAGAAACTGTCAACCTGTTTTCCAAGGTGGTGGTACCATTATACAGTTTGATTAACAGTATGTGAGAGTTCTAGTTCCTCCACACTTGTCAACACTTGCTATGGTCAATCTTTTTAATTTTAGCTGTTCTAGTGGGGGTGTCATTGTGGATTTAATGTACATATCCTTAGTGATACTGAGTATTTTTTCATCGCTAATTTTCCATTCATTTATCTCCTTTGGTGCAGTGTCTGTTCAAATTGTTTGCTCATATTTATATATATATATTTTTTATTAAGTTTTAAGCATTCTTACATACATTCTAGATATTAGGTCTTTGTCAGATATATGCTTTGCAAAGATTTTTCTCCCAGTCTGTGACTTGGTTTTTCGTATGCTTCATAAAAGTCTTCTGAAGAGCAGAAGTTTTTAGTTTTTATGAAGTTTCACTTATCACTTTGCTTTTATGGATTGTGCTTTAGGTGTTGCATTTAAGAAATCTTTGCCTAATCCAAGCCTGTAAAGGTTTTCTCCTGATTTTTTTCAACATGTTTAAGAGTTGTAGGTCTTATATTTAGGTCAGTGACCCATTTTGAGTTAATTTTTATATATGGTGCAAGAAAAGGATCCAAGTTAATTTCGTTTTTGCATGTTACTACCCAGTGTTACAGCACCATCTGTTAAAAAGGCTATCCTTTCTCTACCACATTGCCTTTGCTCTGCTGTTAAAATCAGTTGTCATATAAGCACGAGTTTATTTATGGATCCTCTATGCTGTTCCATTGATCTATTTGGCTGTCTTTATTCCAATGCCATACTATTTAGCTTATGTATCTTTATAATAATAATTGAATCCATGCAGTGTTAGCTCTCTAACTTTTCTTTATCTTTCACAGTTGTTTCGGCTATTCAAAGCCCCTTGCATTTCCATATTATTTTTAGAAATAGTTTTAGCCAGGCGTGGTGGGTCACGCCTGCAGTCCCAGCGCTTTGGGAGGCCAAGACGGGTGGATCACCAGAGGTCAGGAGTTCGAGACCAGCCTGGCTAACATGGTGAAACCCTGTCTCTACTAAAAAATATAAAAATTTGCCAGGCATGGTGGCAGATACTTGTAATCCCAACTACTCGGGAAGCTGAGTCAGGAAACAGAGTCGCTTGAACCCGGGAGGTGGAGGTTGCAGTGAGCTGAGATCATGCCATTGCACTTCAGCCTGGGCAACAAGAGCGAGACTCTGACTCAAAAAAAAAAAAAGTAAGTTTCTACAAAAAACAACCTATTAGAGTTTTGATTTGGCAATGATACTGCAGATCAATTTGGGAAGCATTGACATCTCAGCTGTCTTCCAACCTATGAACATAGCTTACCCTGCATTTACTTATGTCCTCTTTAATTTGTCTCAGCAATAACTTTGTAGCTTTCAAGGTACAGATCTCTCATGTCTTTTGTCAGATTTACCTCTAGGGAGTTCCTCTATTGTGACACCATTTTAAATGACGCTTTAAAAATTTTCAATTTCTGATGGCTTTACAGAATAAAGCCCAAACTTTATATTGATGTGCATGGCCCTTTGTTCTCTGCCTCCAGCTTTCTTTAGAGGTAATTCACTTTCCTCTACATTTGCTGCACTGCGGCTTCACGGAGTTTCTTGTCATTCCCTGATGAGAAGTCCGTTCAGTCTCCTGGTCTAGATTCATCGTATGTCCTCCACGTGAAATGGACTGGGCTGGTTCTAGGCCGGAAGACACCATTTCAGACCTGAGCACACATATTCCTTCTTTTTTGACAACTTACTTTTTCCCCTAAGCAGATGAACATGACCCTCCTTTATGCTTTAATACTTTTTCTTCTATAAGACATATCACATTTATAAATTATTCTTATTTGTTTACCTGACTGGCTGATTTCCCTATTAGAGTGTATGTTCTTTGAGGGCAGAGATGAAGTCTTGTTCACTTTGGTGTCGTTAGTATCTGGCAAAGTTTCTGCACTATACAGGAGCCCAGTAAATTGTTAAGAAAATAAATCAAAACAAAAAGTCAACCAGTAACAAATTTATGGGAAGCTTCATTTTAGTATATGAATGCTATAATTATAAGTCTTAATCTTTAAAAATCATTTTTCCTATTATAGAACTTATCTATGTTTATCATAAAAAATTGAACAGAACAGAAAGGTATATGATGAGATTATTTATCTAATTTTTGTGCATATATGCTTTATTTTGACATAACATCACATATGGAAAATTTTATATCCTACTATTATCTTGTTATAAGCATTTTCCAATGCATGTTATCAAAATTATTCATTACTGTTTGTTATGGTAAATGATTAAACTGAATAGAGTTAAAATAATTTATTAAAGTATTCTCCTACTATAATGTTTTTTTTTTTTACAACTTTTTGTTATTAAAAAGAATGCCACAATATTCTTTTTGGTTTATATACATTATACAAGTATTGGACCTAATCTTTTTAAAATTATGCTTTAAAAAGTTTGCATTACAGATTATTTCCTTGGGATAAATCATACAGCAAAATAACTGAGCTAAGAATTGGTAGATATTTTAACAAACTGTTTTCTAGAAAAGATGTAGATTCACACTTCCATCAGCAAAATGAGTGTCAGTTTCACTGCTTGCTTGCCATCACTGAATATTATAGGTTTTTAAATGTTGGGGATAAATATTTTTCACATATTTATTAGTCATTTGTTTCTCTTCTATTTTCTCTGTGGGATAGTAGTGCTATTCTTTTCAATTATATGAATTATTTTTATGTTAAATATATTAACCATTTATCAGAAATATTTATGAAAACTATTTTTCCTGCTTGTGGTTTATATTTAGTCTTATTTGTAGTGTCGCTTAGTTAAAAAACACAGGTTGTATGTGTCCTACTACTTACCAGCTATTTGAAATTCAGCAAATAACCTCTGGAAAAGTCCTCTTCCTAGCTCTATTTCACAAGGTTGATTTGAAGATTACATGAAGATTGTAAACATTAAATGAAGTAATGTACATAAAGGGCTTAAAATAATATTCACTGTCCATCGGTGCAAAGCAGTAATAGTTTCTCTGCTCTTTACTCAGCTTCTTCTCTGTCTGTTTTTATGGAATTAAATCAATGCTTATTTTATTTTTAAGTTACTTATTTATATTTAGCTTAGAATAAAAAGCATTTTCTTTAAAAACTAGGTAAATATTCCCTCTTTACCTTGCTGAGCTAATAGGGAGTAAGCTGGGTCTCTCTATAGTCGTGAGGCTGGAGATAAATGCTCTTCTAAAGGGAAGACATTTCCCAGCCAGCCCTTTCTGCCTCCCTCAATTCAGCATCCACCACTCTGTATCTAGGAGAAATTCTGCAAAGATTCTTACCAATACACAGCATTCTTCTTTAGCACTTAGAGTTTGCAATCTTTGATCATGTCCCTGGGACCTGGAGGGTAAGAGGTGTCTTTGCTTGCACCAGCATCTTTAACTTAATGTTAACTTTTAACTATTATGGACACCAATTGCACTTGTCAGTGATAGAGTGATTCTCTGAAACTATTTTGCAATACACAGGGCTATCTGTGGCGTACTAAATGGCTCCAAGTTATTATTACTGAGTTCTTAAATCTATGCTTTAAGATTTGTCTCATCTCTGATACACAAGTTTCATGTTATCAGTGTTTCCCGTTGTCAATTTGCTGCCTTCAATATCTCCAACTTCTAACTTACTGCTTCTAACTTGCTATAGACAGGGAAAGCACATAAACAAAGCAGGTAAAACTGTGTCTAAAGTAAAATACTGGCCAGGTGTGGTGGGTCAGGTTTGTCATCCCAGCACTCTGGGAGGCTGAGGCAAGAGGATTGCTTGAGCTCAGGAGGTCGACCCTGCGGTAGGCTATAATTGCACCACTGCACTCCAGCCTGGGCAACAGAGAAAGACCCTGTCTCAAGAAAAAGTACCCAAGGTAAAACCTAAAGATGTTTTTAATGAGCATAGGGCTCATAAGATTTGGTCCGCATGTCAACTGTTTCTATTATTTCCTGAGATTCACTATATTCCAGAAAGATGAAGTTTCTAGATTAATGATTTATGTGTATGTGGAGCATGTGTATGTATTGCTGTCATACATGGTGAGTTCTGACCCTAGTGGCCTCAGTAGAATCTACATGGTAAATGGGTTTCTATTAAAACAAAGAGTACATTACATTTTCTTTAGGGGTGGCACACCAAAAAGAAATGATTTCTTAAGACACCTTAACCGAATACTACTTTAACTTAGTTCAGAACTGAAGCCTACAGCCATTTATGCTTTAAGTTATAGCTTTCACCTAAGAAAAATATACTACCCATTTTGAAATATCTCAAAATATTGCAAAATAACCATCAATCAGGGTCTTAAAATACTTATGATTTGTATCCTTTGGAAACCTTTGCCATAATTTTGTGTTACTATTTAAAATAGAGCAGTTTAAGCAGTCAACTTGCTGTTGGTTTTTTTTTCCACCACCAAGATAGCAGCTAAAATTTTATACATCCTCATAAAACTTTATCATATAATCAGCATAAGGTCAGGAGAAGTTGAATCAAGTAATGAAACAGTTCTCAGGATATGAATTATTTTAAAGGAAACACTCCCAATACTATTTTTTTTTGTAGATCTTTCTTATTCATGGCATGATTCAGAAAGTTTTCTATTCAGTAACATTCAAGACTTCTATGGGGTATTTGTTTTCTTACATTAAGAGATTTTTTTTTTTTTTTTTGAGACAGAATCTTAGTTTGTCATTCGGGTTGGAGTGCAGTGGTGCTATCATAGCTCACTGCAGCCTTGAATTCCTGAGTCCAAGCAATCCTCCTGCCTCAGCTCTCTAAGTAGCTAGGACTATAGTCATACACTACTGTGTTTGGCTTATTTTCTACTTTTTTTGAAGAGTCAAGGTCTTGCTATGTTGCCCAGGCTGGTCTCAATCCCCTGGCCTCAAGCAATCCTCCTGCCTCAGCCTCCCCAAAAGCTAGGATTATAGCATGAGCCATCATGCTTGGCCAAGATATTTGTTAAAATGAGGACATAATTTCTAATAAATTCCCATGGTGATGATATCTATACAGTACATTCTGATATCAGTGATTTACAAATATATTTTTATTTTATTCCTCAAAGTTAACTGAAAAAATTTATTCTCCATCTTTTAAGTCAAATTTACTTATAACTTTTTTTCTTTTTTTTTTTTTTTTTGAAATGGAGTCTCGCTCTGTCGCCCAGGCTGGAGTGCAGTGGCGCAGATCTCAGCTCACTGCAAACTCTGCCTCCCGGGTTCATGCCATTCTCCTGCCTCAGCCTCCAGGGTAGCTGGGACTACAGGCACCTGCCACCACGCCCGGCTAATTTTTTGTATTTTTAGTAGAAACAGGGTTTCACTCTGTTAGCCAGGATGGTCTCAATCTCCTGACCTCGTGATCCGCCTGTCTCGGCCTCCCGACGTGCTGGGATTACAGGCGTGAGCCACCGCGCCCTTCCTTACTTTTAACTTATATTCTATAATGTAATTCTTGAATAGAGACTCTGGAATAATTCAATGTGTGGTTTTCTAGAGGAGAAAAGTGAACACAGTAATGCCAAGTAACGCATTTCAAAGAAATCATGTGAATGACGGTGAAATCAAGATTTCATTTAACTTTGAAACCCTTTAACTATATTATTTTTAGTGTAACACAGAAACATCTTCCCCACTTTGCTCTAAAACACCATAGACTTTAAAGCTATGTGTATTTATCTATAGACATTCCTTAGCATTGTATAAAATGGTTAAAAACATTAAACTTTCGATTTTTTACAATAATTCCTAAGTTCATTTACAAATCTTAACCACATACTAATTTTTCTTATAAAAATAATTGCAAACACATCCAAAATTCAAGTGGCATACAAGTTCATGAAGTAAAAACACCTAAGGTTCCCTGCCTCCTTAAATCCCACAATGTCTCAGTGTTTGATGGATATGCTGAAAGTGAAAGAAGTCTCAGTCTAAAACATTTTGCCTAAGCAGAGGATAACGAATTTGCTTTTCCACCAAAGAGCAAAATGCTAGACTTGTACCTGGATGTCATCAAACTCGAGCAAGTATAAGCATTTGAAGTTTGTGCCTTGGAGCTGAAAAACAAGTACGCTTGAATGCTACAGGCTAAGGAATGAGGAAAAAAAAATTAGAGAAATGACCTAGAGAAATATAAGATGATTTGTATCTTAGTGCATCTGCCGTTGTTTAGGGATATCTATTTTCCCTATCTGTCTTTCTAATCTAGTGTTCTCTTTTTCCTTTAATAATATGAAATCTTATTTTTCTTTTCTCATGTGTTTCATTTATTATTCTTTACTGTTTATAGAGATACATATCAGAGTATGCAAGGAGTCACTTTAAAAAATGCTAGAAGATAAGGACGGCTGTGGAATGTTAGGACCCCAAAGTTCATAATCAGATTTCATTTGCTCTGATGAGCGAAATGCTGCACAAGGCTGGAAATGGGGTATTGATCTACTCATATGTGGTTGTTCCAACAAAGTTCTTGAAAATTTCTCTGTTCAAAACTGCCGTAACTACACTTAAAAGGCAAAGAGAAAAGCCATGAAAACAATGCACAACATTTATGGTAGAAAAAACCTCTTAGTAACTGTAAATGTCCACATATCGAAACCAATAAGAAAATAACAGCCCGGGCACAATGGCTCATGCCTGTAATCCCAGTACTTTGGAAGGCTGAGGTGCGTGGATCATTGGAGGTCAGGAGTTTGAGACCAGCCTGGCCAACATGGCGAAACCCCGTCTCTACTAAAAATACAAAAATTAGCTGGGTATGGTGGCAGACACCTGTAATTCCAGCTACTTGAGAGGCTGAGGCAGGAGAATTGCTTGAACCTGGGAGGCAGAAGTTGCAGTGAGCCGAGATAACGCCACTGTACTCTAGCCTGGGTGACAGAGTGAGACTGAAAAGAAAAAAAACAGGAGCTGCCCCCAGTAGAAGATATATATAACCGCTCTGTGTTAAAAGAGTGAAAGATTAGCACCAGCATTCACATGATAGGGGCTGACTGATAAGGGATTGTTTAACGAATAACGGAATAGTGATAGTATGGAATATTATGCAACTTTTTTTTTTTTTTTTGAGACAGAGTCTTGCTCTTTCACCAGGCTGGAGTGCAGTGGCATGATCTTGGCTCACTGCAACCTCCAACTCCCTGGTTCTAGAGATTCTCCTGCTTCAGCCTCTCAAGCAGCTGGGATTACAAGCACGTGCCACCACGCCCAGCTAATTTTTTTGTATTTTTAGTAGAGACAGAGTTTCCCCATGTTGGCCAGAATGGTCTCAACCTGACCTGATCCGCCCACCTTGGCCTCCCAAAGGGCTGGGATTACAGGTGTGAGCCACCACGCCTGGCTGCAACCTTTTAAATAAGGATATAGAAGCAGATTCACTATTGTAGAAACATATTATGGTCATCAGGATCTAACCACAGAAATCTTATAGTTCCTAGATAAATGGAACACATCTTCTAACAACAACAACGACAAAAAGTCAGTCAAACTAGCAATCTCTTCTTTCCCCCTACTCTGACGTCTGGCAATATTTCAGAGGGTGACTGTTGCTTCAGCCTGGGTTTCAGAATAAAGACAGCAGAGTGCAGGCCCATAGCTGATCCAGCATGGATACATTGGATACATGAAAAATCTTTATGACGTCAGGTCACTGAGATTTGGGGACTGCATGTTACTGGTACATAATCTAGCTTATCCCTACTGATTACACCCTCTTTCTGAAGTAAAAAGCTTAGTGTCCACCGGGATACACCCATCTAAGTCATTATCTTGGCTATACCACTAAAAAGCTCTGTGATTTTAAGTAAATGATCCAAATGTAATTATAAACCTCAGCCTTCTTACCTGCATACAATAAGGTTAATAATTCTATTTCATAGGGTTATTACAATGATCAGTAACTAGAACATAGTTAATAACATGGTCCTAGTTAATAGCATAGTACTTGGTACATGGAATATATTCATTGGACATCAGCTATGATATTATTATTACTACCCCAACTGGAGTTGGTGGAAGCTCAGGCAATTCATGCACTCACTTTCCTTTACTTTTTGCCCAATATACCAGGAAATATGTTTATTTCATTTTTTTTTTACATCAGTGTACTGCCAGAGTCCCCACATCATTTATCCCTGTGGGTAGCCTGGGGGATGGCTGTAAAAGTATCTTGTCTCTAAGCCCAGCTTGCTTAAAGACATCTCAAACAGCGCCAAAACATTAGCAGGCATTCTCTGCAACCTGCTGTTGAGCCTCGTCTCCTGTTTCCATGGAATAAGTGTCTGTGTTCTTACCGAAAGCCAACACCTCCACTTGTATTCTAATCCTATCTCCTGTTGCCTACCCAAGGACACCACCACCACAAGCTCTTTTTTCTCCTTTTAAAAAAGAGACCCTTCCCATACTTCTATATGCCTCACTGCAAATACCATTTCTCTATTCCTCTTTGCAACAGAAAAGAGGTGGAAGTATGTGGGTGGGGAAAATTCTATGAGAGACCTGAAGCCCAATCCTAAGACAATGTATTTGAAAGTTGAGACCAGACTTCATCCTGTCACTTTCTCTTTAGAACAAGTAACTAAAGTCATTATTCAAAAGGACAAAAAACATTGTATCCATCTCCAAGCATGCCCAACTCAAAGAAGATCTTGAAAATATTTTAGTTTGGCAGCGTGGCAGGAGATCAGGAAGCACGAGCAATTTGTGCTCACTTTCCTTCACTTTTCTTTTTTCCCAATATACCAGGAAATAGAATAATTTCATCTTGTTTTTAATCAGTGTGATACCACGGGTGTCCACATCGTTTATTCCCTGTGGATACCCTAGGGGGATGACTATAGAAGGTACCTTGTTTATAAGTCTACAAGTCTAGCTTGCCTAGAGAAGATATCTCCATCAGCACCAAAACATCATCAGGGATTCTCTCCAATATACTGTTGAGCCTCATTCTTTGCAGAGTTCCTATTTGTGAAATTGCCTACTCACTAAAATTTAGTTGTAGCCCCCAAATCATCAGTTGTGGTGCTTTCACAGTCATTCACGGACATTACATGGTAGCAGAAAATGTGAGTTGTCAGATGCACACGTTACCAGCTGAGATTAACAAGGCGACGCTCCGCCTTCCTGTTTTAGCTCTGTGAACAAGTTACCTTTTGCAGTCTATTAGTGCCGTGCTTCTTGTTGGTGATTTTACTGCTTAGAATGGCCACCAAGCAGAGCGCTGAAGCACTGTCTAGCATTCCTAAGTGCAAGTAAGGCTGCGAAGTGCTTTACTGAAAAAATATGTGTTAGATAAGCTTCCTTCAGGCATTAGTTATAGTGCTGGTGGCTGTGAGTTCAGTGATAACTAATCAACAACATAGACTAAATGAAATGTCTTTAAACAGAGATACACATAAACCAATGTTATGTACCAATCAGTTTATAAAAAGGTCATGATGAATATGTCAAGACCAGAGGCTCACGGGAACCTATCCTGTATTTCCCTTAGGAAAATGGCTCGGTATTCACTGATTCAGTATTCTTGGTGACTTTATAGAACATAACTAGTGTGACTAATGAGAACTGACTGTAGCTTCTTTCAAGTTTCTGTTAAATCATCTGAGAAGGCATATAAAATGAAAAAAAAAAAACAGCAACAGAATATGGAATTAAGGCTAACATTTAACTCTTTTCTAGGGACTGGTAGGAATTTCCATCAACTACAGGGTAGATAGAGCCAGATTTTACAGACTTCACTGAACAGAAATCAAATCTTTTCATACTCTATCAGTATTCTTACTGTCAATGGCCACAGAGAGCCCAAAACATTGGTTTGAAAATATGTGCTGATATATGTATTGATTTGAATATATGTACATAAATCCAAATATATTTTATATGAAGATTTATTATGAAGAATTGGTGATTATGGAGGCTGAGAAGTCCTATGATCTGCTGTCTGCAAGCTGGAAACCTAGGAAAACTAGTGGTATAATTCAGTCCAAGTCCAAAGGCCTGTGAATGAGGGCAGCCGATGGTATAAAGCCCAGTCCAGAGATGAGATGAGATGAAATGTCCCAGCTCAAGCAGTGAAGCAGGAATAAAAGAATCAAATTCCTTCTCTGCCTTTTGTTCTATTCAGGCTTTCAGCAAGATTGGTTGGTGCCCATCCACATTGGCGAGGGTGATTTACTTCATTGACTCTACCAATTCAAATGCTAAGCTTATCTGGAAACAGCTGCTCGAACACACCCAGAATAATGTTTAATCTGGGCACTCCATGGCCAGTTAAGTAGACACATAAAATTAACTATCACAAGTAGCAAGTTATAAGTAATATATATTTGCATTTCGGAGTCCCCAAGGATCTGATCCCATAAATACCACTTACTCTTAACACTAAGCATGCCCGACTTAACGCTCAGCAGATGGAGAAGTTCCCACTGCATGAAGCACAGCTCAGTTTACACAGACACCAGGTATCTCTTGAGCAGTAATTCCGTTTCTAACAGAGCCTAGTCATGAGCAAGAACTGTTTCTCCAAAGGATGGTAGCGATGCATTGAAGAAGTCTTAATGTTTTCCTTTCAAGTCCAGTGGCACCACTGTAATCATTTTATTAGGGTTTACCATAGCACACATACTATACCTGGTCTGCTTCAAAGAGATCACACACTCTAAGGTTTCTTGAGTAGTGGGGAGTGGGTAGCAGCCTGAGTCACCTAGAGAGCTTCCTGCTCCTCCTGGCCTCCTGGACATAAGGAGTCACATGAGTCATAGAGCCCTTCATGGTATCAGAGAGGCCACTTCTGCTCTTCTAGCTCTGAAGTCCTCGCCAGAGAACATGTGCATAACCACTGCCATCATGCACCTCAGCCACTTACTCCAGTCACAAAAGGGATTCAAGGTTCCCACATCTTTCCTTGTTATTTGGACCTTTATCCCCAGTATGGTTCTGTACACCCTCTGGTATGGTTTGGCTCTGTCCCTACCGAAATCTCATCTTGAATTGTAGTTCCCATAATCCACACATGTCATAGGAGGGACCCAGTAGGTGGTAACTGAATCATGGGAGTGGTTTCCCCCATCCTATTCTCGTGATAGTGAGTTAGTTCTCATGAGATCTGATGGTTTTACAAGAGCCTATTCCCCTACTTTGCTCTGCACTTCTCTCTCCTGCTGCCATGTGAAGAAGGATGTGTTTGCTTCCCCTTCTGCCAGGATTATAAGTTTCCTGAGGCCTCCCCAGCCATGCAGAACTGTGAGTCAATCAAACTTCTTTCCGTCAAAAATTATGCAGTCTCTGGTATGTCTTTATTAGCAGCATGAGAATGGACTAATATACCCTCTAATCTGACCACATGTCTATACATTTCCTAATATTCAAAGCTCTTCCACTGCATACTCTGGAATCACAGTCACCACCCACAAAATCCCATATGACTTCAGTTGTGTTTCTGAATGTTCCCTTTACCTTCTCACCTTCAGTGAAATCTGGCTATTGCCCCAGACACTGTTTCTCTGGTCCCTCAGAAGACGGCTGTTTTCTCTCTCACATTCTTTGTACGCCTGGGCCTCCTTGACTTTTCTCAAGCCTTTCTCTCTCCATCCTCCCTAATGCTTCATACCCACCATTTTCATTTTTCTTTTTTCATACCCACCATTTTCAAACGCATGCCATAACCTGAGTTCATTTCCTAAATTCAACCCTCCTTTGTGTAGCGAGTTACAGACTTCCTTTTCTATCCTCTTCTTTCTCGTGGATTTTAGCTTCTGGATCTCTGCTGTTTTCTCTATCACTACCCCTTTAATAATTCATAGTGACTTCAGTATATACACAGATGATCTTTCTGATACCCTGATGTCTCTGAGCCCTCATCTTCTTTCTGTGAATGACCTTATCATTCCCCCCACCCACCACAGTCCTATCCTAAACTTTGTCATTAGCAATAAATGTATAGCTTCTATAATTGTAGTTTCAAGGATTTCACTGTTTTACCACAATCTTAAAAATTTTGCAGTCCACATTCTTCAGGACCCTATATTTATTAATCCTTCAACCCTCTGGGTCCCACAATTCATTGACCCTACTAACCCCTTAATGTCCCTCAACCCTTTATGGTATTCACCTTCCTCCTTAGTGGGTCTGGATCCCGTGATACATTATTAACACTCTGCTGTTTACACCTTCGGCTGTCATGGCCTCCTTCTCTCCTCTGATCCCATGGTCCTTGCTAGTAAAACCTCAGGACCTGTTTAAACTTATACTTGGACTATTCAAGGGTTGTACTTGTGCTGCTGGAACTAGCTGGAGAAACATACCCAGCCATGCTAACTGGACCAACCTCAAATATTGCCTGGAAATGCCATATTTCCTGATCTATGACTTTCCTTTGCATCTCTCTTGTCTTCCTCTATGCTGATTTTACATTTAATCATCTCTTGTAAAACTTTCAACACCCCCTTAGCAATTCCCACTTTTCAAATAATCTCGCTTCTTCTCTCATTGCCAAAATAGCAATAATCTGAAGAGAGCTTCCACAAGCTCCCACCCAGCCTCACCTCTTGTTCCCATGGAAGAATTGTCTATGCTCTTGCCTAAAACCAAAACTTCCACTTGTATTCTGGATCTTATCTCCTCTGCCTACCCAAGGACATCAACACTGCCACAATCTCTCTTTCCTCCTTTTAAGAAAGAGACCCATCCCATACTTCTATATGCCTCATTGCAAATGCCCATTTCTCTATTCCTCTTTGCAGCAAACCCTTTGCAACTCCTTGCTGCATTCGCTTCCTCTCTTCCTCTGTCTTTTGGTATTGCTTGAAAAACCCTCCAAGGCTAAAATTCAGTTACAGCAAAAGGGAAAGTGGATGAGAAAAGAAAAGACATACACAAAGTATCTTTGAATCACACTTTCACTGAGTCCCTATTCTTTAAATTCCATCCTAATAACTGACTAGATGCCTGTTTCACCCCTATCCACAGCTTCCCCTCCCCTTTTCCTACCATTGAGAGAAACCTTATGTCAGTGCCTGAGTCAGAGTTTTAAGGCGGCAAACCTAAACCTTTCTCCTAGGACAAAACCAGAAGTACACTCTTTAAGCAAATGATAAATCCCACGTAACATATTTCTCCAAACTTCTTTGTGTGTGTGTGTGTGTGTGTGTGTGTGTGTGTGTGTGTGTTCATAAAGAAAATTATGCAGTCATACAAATTCAGTTTGAGGCAAATAACAATTATTTACCCTACAAAATTAAGCAAGTATAGAATAGAACTAAAAGTACAAACTGTTCTCTGCTTTGTTTTTGAGATTTTAGGATTGCGCTGCTTCTTAACTACAAAGGGCTATGAGAAATTAAATGGGTAGGTGAGCGGGTGTGTTTGAAAATTAAAGACTAAAAAATATTTTGCCAAAGTTGTCTTTGTGTGCTTAAATACTTTCACAGTTTAAGGTGAATGGACCATATAGGTAGTTGTATTCTTTAAACAGCACACATTTTAATGTGTATTTTGGCCACAGCTAGAAATCAAAGTAAACACACACTTCTTCAAACTAGAAACACTTCACTAATTTCTAAGATTCTAAGGTTTAACAATGTAATTTGCAAATTACCTTGTCTAATGAATCATGTATACTCTCTGTGAAACCTGTGAGTAACAAACAGATCCTGTTTTCAAGGTCCTTTAAGATGACCCTGAAGCCACCCTTGAATATTGACTTTTGGTCTCTCTAATCTTGAATGGTGAAATACTCGAAAATATCTGATCATAACATACAGAAAACTTTCTGAGATGAATTTGCCAAGTCATGTAGTTTGCTTTCTGTGGCCCCCAAAATTTTAACTCATGTGTCCTGGCTTTTCTTTGGGAGAGAAGGGGAACCAATCAGTCACATGCTAATCAGAATTCTTGGTTTGAATGTGTAATGAATCATTTTTTGATCAATCATTAATTTTTATCAAAGAGCCAACTCTGACACAAATTGGGATGGATCATTTCAGATGGAATAGCATGAAACAGTCTCTACCAGAAATGAAAGAAGATCTGTATGTTTTCCAGACGCTGCCTGTTTGAGGGGCCCTTATCTTATTAATTCTTGTCCTTCCATGTCTAAATTTGTGGGCCCACATCCCAGAGTTTCTCCCATCACGGAAGAGAGAGTGATTACCATTAAATATTTCAAAATGTCTTTGGATTTTTGAGGCTCACTCTTTGCTCAGGGCGAGGAAACTTAACAGAGAAATTAGTTTAACACCAGGTCACACTAGGCCTATTAATCCTTCTTTTAATAGGTAATTACCTGCTATCCTTCTAACGAATAAGTAATTAGATATCATCAGGCCACACCAGGCCTACTGCCACTGTGAAGTAAAAGTGCTCCATTATGTTATTCATTCACTAAGTTGTTCATTTCTCTCTTTACTTAACAAACATTTGTTGAGAATGTCAGACTGTACCAAGCACTAATAACACACTTGTGGTTAATACATAGAAGATGCCCTCAAAGAGCTCACATTAGTGGAGGAAATAAATAAAATGATACATTTTGATAAGAGGCTATTGTGACTCTGTATCTGGATGTCTTGTCACAGTCCTGGCCTGAATCCTTTCGGAGTGAGTACTTACCATTCCTTTTTAAAACCCAGTATCTGAAATCCGTCTCTTACAAGTCTCAGGAGGAGGGAGAGCCCTTCTCCTACTATAGATGTCAAACATGTGGACCTTTCCTTTTCCAGCCTCCCTTGTAGCTAAGTTGTAAGTACATGACTTAGGCTCCTCTAATTGAAGGCCTCTGTCATTTATTTTGAGATAGGAGCCTTGTAAGGGATAGCAGATGGTAGAGGTGGTAGTGGAAGCATAGAGTGTTTAGCACTAGGGGCATTGAGAGTGCAGCAGCCATGTCCTCACCAAATATGTTTGGTAGTGTTCCTGGCTGCATAGCCAGAAGCTTGGATCTTCAGTCTTCTTAGCTATTCTGTGGACTACCTACTATTCTTCTAAATGATTTCTTTTCTGCTTATATCATGTGAATATCTGAAAATTAAATGTGTTGGCAAGTAAAAAATTTTAGGGGGTGGGAAGGAGATTGCTTGTTTTGTTCTGGAAGGAAATTATTTAGGTGCCAAGTCAATAGGAGGGGATTACATGGTAACACTATTTAGAACTTGGTTTAATCGGATTTTGTCCAGAGACTCACTTGGATCTTTTACCCCAAAGTGCTAGCTCTTGTAACCCTGAAATTTTAAGTCATAATCATCTGAAATGTCATAGGCTTCAAAACTAGTACTTCTGTTGCTCAAAAGAATTTCATTGTCTCAAAAATACTCATTGTATTTACTATTGTTTTCAGATATTTTTTGGAATGTTCAGTTTGATACTCTTTATTATAAACCTGGTTTATTATTTTGTCCTTTTTCGTTCTCTCTTTTGAGTATTTCAAAATGTATTTGATTTTAGCTCATTTTATTTTTACTTTTTAGAGACAATGTCTTGCTCAGTTGCCCAGGTTGGAGTGCAGTGGCACTATCATGGCTGACTGCAGCCTCGACTTCCCAGGCTTAGGTGATTCTCCCATCTCAGCCTCCTGAGTAGCTGGGACTGCAGACACATGCCACCATGGTTGGCTAATTTTAGAATTTTTTGTAGCCATGTTGCCCAGGCTGGTCTCAAACTCTTGGCCTCAAGCAATCCTTCTGTCTTGGCCTCCCCAAGTGCTAGGATTACAGGCCATTGTTTTTTAAAAAGTACACTTTTCTATATATATATATATATAATATATATATACACACACACACACACACATATACATATACATATACATATATTTATTATACTTTAAGTTCTAGGATACATGTGCACAATGTGCAGGTTTGTTACATATGTCTACATGTGCCGTGTTGGTGTGCTGCACCCACTAACCCCTCATTTACATTAGGTATATCTCCTAGTGCTATCCCTCCCCCATTCCCCCACCCCACAACAGGCCCCGGTGTGTGATGTTCCCCTTACTGTGTCCGTGTGTTCTCATTGTTCAATTCCCACCTATGAGTGGGAACATGCGTCGTTTGGTTTTTTGTCCTTGCAATAGTTTGCAATAGTTTCCAGCTTCAACCATGTCCCTACAAAGGACATAAGCTCATCATTATTTATGGCTGCATAGTATTCCATGCTGTATATGTGCCACATTTTCTTAATCCAGTCTATCATTGTTGGACATTTGGGTTAGTTCCAAGTCTTTGCTATTGTGAGTAGTGCCACAATAAACATACGTGTGCATGTGTCTTTATAGCAGCATGATTTATAATCCTTTGGGTATATACCCTGTAATGGGATGGCTGGGTCAAGTGGTATTTCTAGTTCTAGATCCCTGAGGAATCGCCACACTGTCTTCCACAATGGTTGAACTAGTTTACAGTCCCACCGACAGTGTAAAAGTGTTTCTATTTCTCCACATCCTCTCCAGCACCTGTTGTTTCCTGACTTTTTAATGATCGCCATTCTAACTGGTGTGAGATTATATCTCATTGTGGTTTATACAAAAATTAATTCAAGATGGATTAAAGACTTAAATGTTAGACCTAAAACCATAAAAGCCCTAGAAGAAAACCTAGGCAATACCATTCAGGACATAGGCATGGGCAAGGACTTCATGTCTAAAACACTAAAAGCAATGGCAACAAAAGCCAAAATGGACAAATGGGATCTAATTAAACTAAAGAGCTTCTGCACAGCAAAAGAAACCACCATCAGAGTGAACAGGCAACCTACAGAATGGGAGAAAATTTTTGCAATCTACTCATCTGACAAAGGGCTAATATCCAGAATCTACAAAGAACTCAAACAAATTTACAAGAAAAAAATAAACAACCCCATCAAAAAGTGGGCAAAGCATATGAACAGACACTTCTCAAAAGAAGACATTTATGCAGCCAACAGACACATGAAAAAATGCTCATCATCACTGGCCATCAGAGAAATGCAAATCAAAAAGTATATTTTCAATGACTGTTTTTTATCACTTCACATAATGTTTTAAGATAATCGTGGTGGAGCATCATTATTGCACAGAATGTAGCACAGATGATAAAGGCCCACTTAAAAATCATTTTAAATAGCTTATGATGATTCTTAAAAAATTCCCCAAAATACTGAAAATGACTTTTTCCATAAATTATATCTAAAACTCCAAATAACCATCTAATTTGGGCAAGTATGAGTTGAATGATGGCACCATGCTTTTTTACTTAACAATACATTTTGGGGATCTCTTCATAATAATGTAGAGAATCATCTCCCCTCCTCTTTACAGCTACATAGTATTCTAATTTGTGAATGTCTCGTAGTTTATTTTAAAAGTCCTCTTTTTTTTTAATGTTAGGTTTGTATTCTAGTCTTCTGCTATTATAGTAAGACCACAGTGAATGTCCTCATACATATGCCATTTTATATTTTTACCTGTGTATCTTTGGGATAGATTCCTAAATACAGGATTGCTGGGTCAAATAATAAACATGTATAATCATTCTGTAACTTTTTATTTTATTTTATTTTTTATTTTTATTTTTTTTTTTTGAGACGGAGTCTCGCTCTGTCGCCCAGGCTGGAGTGCAGTGGCGGGATCTCGGCTCACTGCAAGCTCCGCCTCCCGGGTTCACGCCATTCTCCTGCCTCAGCCTCCCAAGTAGCTGGGACTACAGGCGCCCGCCACTACGCCCGGCTAATTTTTTGTATTTTTAGTAGAGACGGGGTTTCACCGTTTTAGCCAGGATGGTCTCGATCTCCTGACCTCGTGATCCGCCCGCCTCGGCCTCCCAAAGTGCTGGGATTACAGGCGTGAGCCACCGCGCCCGGCCAACTTTTTATTTATTTTTTAATATCACCTTCTAGTCCTTGCCTATATGTGTCTATATTTTACAGAATTTCACTCAAATTTATGAGGCTTTCTAAATTTTATATTTACTTTTTTTTGAGATGAGATCTTATCCTGTTGCTCAGGCTGAAGTGCTGTGGTACAATCATAGCTCACTGAAGCCTCAAATTCTGGGGCTCAAGTGATCCTCCTGCTTCAGCCTCCTGAGTAGCTGGGGACTACAGGCACACATAACTGTGCCTAGCTAATTTTAAAATTTTTTGTAGAGACAGGATTTTGCTTTGTTGCCCCGGCTGGTCTCAAAATCCTGGCTTCAAACAATCTTCCCACCTTGGCCTCCCAAAGTGCTAGGATTACAGGTATAAACCACCACACTTATCCTGTATTTATTTTAATATAATGTTTATGTTTTCATACAGCTTCATAATTATTTTTCATTATTCTATAATAGTTCATCATTGAAGAATGTCTCAAAATCATTTTTATCTTTTGTTTCTTTCCTTCCTGAGTTACTATTTAATGTTAAACTGAAGAAAATCTATAATACTTTTTGTTTTTGCCAGGTGTAAGGCACACTAGGAATTGTATTTGTGAGTGGGTGTGTGTGTGTGTGTGTTCATATGCATAAACATTTCTGTCTTTCTCAGAACATCTAATGCCTATACATTTTCAATTTTTTAATTTGTACATGCAAAATTTTGAAAAAAAAATGGATTTTAGATTAGACCATTGTGTCTTGTATTAAATCCATTAGGTGATGGAGAGGCAGACTTGATCCAAGTCAGGCATTTCTACACACTTGGAGCAAAAAGACTGAGTATGACCAGCATCCACAAATTGTATTAGTTTTAAATATTTAAAACGTGCTGCAGTCTCAGCACTTTGGGAGGCCGAGGCGGGGAGATCACCTGAGGTCAGGAGTTCGAGACCAGCCTGGACAACATGGCGAAACCACGTCTCTACCAAAAATACAAAAATTAGCTGGGTGTGCTGGCACAGGCCTGGAATCCCAGCTACTAGGGTGGCTGTGGCATTCCTCTCTCCTCGCCTACATTCCACTATTTCCTTTTCCCCTTGCTGAGGGGATGTGCTGTGGGTCAAGAGGAAGAATTCCCTCCCGAACCCAGGCTTAGGAGTTCAGTACCTTCTTGTGAGTCCTCCTAAACTGGATTTGTACCTAGACGCTCCCTTCTGCTTTCACAGCTTATTACAGAGACTATTTAAAATTACAAAGCAAATTACTGAAAAGTGTGTATTTAGACAGTCTAGTTGGTTTGGCATCGGAATCCCCCTGGAACTTAGGAGGTGAATTTTGCTCAGTTTTCTACTTTATATAGTGGGAATCCTTAAATTTAAATAATTTAAAAGAGTTTTGAGAATTAAACATAACCTAATATAAAAATATTTTAGCTATTAAACTATAGTTTCTTTTAAAAATTATATTCTAAATAAAATTATGGTCGCTTTGGGATATTTAATTTTATATTTCCATTTTTTTTTCTTTTTTTGAGACGGAGTCTCGCTCTGTCACGCAGGCTGGAGTGCAGTGGGGCGATCTCAGCTCACTGCAACTTCCACCTCCTGGGTTCAAGTGATTCTTCTGCCTCAGCCTCCCAAGTAGCTGGGACTACAGGCGCCCGCCACCACGCCTGGCTAATTTTTTGTATTTGTAGCAGAGACGGGGTTTCACTGTGTTAGCCAGGATGGTCTTCATCCCCTGACCTCGTGATCCAGCCATCTTGGCCTCCCAAAGCGCTAGGATTACAGGTGTGAGCCACCACACCCGGCCTGATTTTATATTTCTTAATCCAGCTCAGAACCTCTGTGACTTCTCATGGAAAAAATAGAAACTTAACATGGTTAAGCCTAATATAATCATTCAGCTATCTACAAACAGATGATTTATGTGGTACAGAAAGTCAGATAATCATATTTCTTAACGGTTTTCATATCAGAAATTTATTGTCATAAAAATCTAGTTTTTCTCTTAAAATAGAGAAGTAAAAATATTTTAATTGCTAAAGTCACACTTTAATGGTAAAATGCAAAATTATTAACACGTGTAACAAAAGCCAAATGTGTTTGTTAAATGAAAACTCCATGAAAAATCATGTGAAAGTGGACATAAGAATCACTTAAGATTATTTACAGAACAATTACCTAGGAGGTTTGAACAGAAAAAGAAACAAAAAGAACATAAATGGATGAAAAAAATAAATGATGAAAGAACACATGATTTTTGTTCTTAAAGAGAAGCCAGAAAGAAAGGGAATTGGGAGCATTTAAAATGTGATATAACTGTGTCTTCCAGGACCAAGAGCCACACTGTTATCCGGTGAAAAATGAATATGAGACATTTATTGCTGCCAGGGGATTCCCTGGACTGCCCATGATAGGCTTGAACTGAGGCTTTGCTTGAAGGTTATGTGAAGACTTTGTCATTCAAAGTCGGCACCACTGACAAGAACTATCCTCGGTAGGGTTACACCGAGCTCCAGTGGATAAACAAAGGGGCAAGATATATTAGAAAGCATGTGGATGCCCTCTGTCTCTGCACCATTACTCATTCAGATTTATGGTGTGTGATTTTTGGCTCACTCTGGCCAGCGTCACTGGTCATGCTATAAGACGGTCTATCATCAATAAATACACATTGATCACATGTGCCAAAATATGCACAAGCCAGTGTAGACATCCCAAAAGAAAACCAGCTATTAAATTATGGTCATACTCAATTTAGAACTAAACAATAATTCCCTGGTTTGATCAACCACCATTTTCAATGGACCCAGTACTAAATAATTTTTCGGCTGTTTCTAAAAATCAAATTCACCCTCATGGACCAGAGATTTACTGCTCCAGAGGATATTAAGAAAAAATGTTCTACAGGTTTTGATAGCAGTCTCTAAAAAAGGAGTCCCAAAGCTATTCTGAAATGCCACCATCATTGGAATAAATGAAAGAATTCCCAAGATGATTACTTTGAACTAGACAACCCTAATTTGGGTTGTATATGCTTGTATTAGTAAGTTCTGAAATTTTCATCAAATATTAGATGTTTTACCTTATACAGCCTCAACTCTTGATTTCGCACTCACTCCCTACAAATCTTTGCAGGGCTGTTTGCTTACACAAATTTTTCTAAAAAGATAGGACTAGAGCAAATTGCCATTAGTACCTAGATGTTTGGCCATGGAAGAGATTACTGGAGAAATGTATCCCAACATTTCATGACAGCATGGTTTGTAATAGTAAAGCAAAGCAAAACAAAACCCACAAGGCTCAATAACAGGAGTCTGGGTAAATAGACCGTGGAATATCCAAACCAAGAAATACTACGCAAAAGTGAAATAAACTACAGATATCCTCATCATTCATGGATCTTATGTTAAGAAAAGGAGAAATTCACAGAAGTTTAAACATTTTTTAGAGTTTAGAAATGGGTAAAACTAGTAAATACTTTGATTACAGGTGTATACATAGGAAAAAAATTATAACGAGAACTATTAGTACTCTTAGTGTTTAATTTGAGGATAAAGAAAGGGAATATGATTATGGAAGGTCACATAAGATATTCTAAAGGTATTAGCAACACTTTTTTTGAGCTAGGTAATAGGTATTCCCTTTGTTAATACTCTTCAAACTGTATATGTAAGTTATATATAGTATTTTGCATGTGTGATATATTTCACAATAAAAACAACAAAAATAGTTAAAAGTCTAGCTTATAAGTCAGGGGAGAGGGAAAACGGAACAAAAATTTACCACATGGAAGAATCCCAGATCCATATTTACTATAGACAAGCATTTCAAGTTGAAATTTCTGTGATGATTGAAATGATCTAAAATGCTATCATGTTCTATAATTGTGCACAGCAGCCGCAAAGCTACTGAGCACTTAGAATGTAGCTAGCACAACTGAGAAACTAATGGTTTTAATTTTAAATAATTTAAATTTAACTAGCACACATGTCTAGTGGCTACTATTTTTAACAAAGCAGATGTAGACCACTGGATTAAAAAATATCATTTTAGGTTAAAATAAGCGACAACCTGTTCATCTTTGAATTATCAAAGACTGATTCTGTGTATTTTTCCTTCTCTTTTTTGTCATCAATCAGCTTACTGTTTGTTTTTCCTTTACATAGTTCTAAGACAGAGACAAGAAAGAAAAAAATATATATATATGAAATATATATATGTATAATTGTAATAACAATAAATAATGCCAAAAGAGGTAGGATGATGAGAAACACCATAGGTATGAGTTTTGAATTCTTTTAAAACTACTTGGTTTTAAAAGAACGAATATGAAATTTTCACCTAAGATAACTAATCATTGTAGTGGTGTGAAAAGGCAGTTGAGAGGGAAAGACAAAGCTAGCTACAGGTAGTCATGCAAATCTTACCACAAAAGTTTACTAAGTTCCTCTGAAAATGACAATAACAATGAGAAAAGAATAATAACTTTTAGCAATCACTGAGTATTTTTTAGTCTTTAGCATCATTTCATGTGCTTTATTAATATGCATTTAAACTTCATGGCAACTTTTGTTTTATCGATAAAAAACTGAAGGGTAAAGTAACTTTTAAGGTCACATGGCCTCTGACCTCCGACAGTTGATAACTTAGAAGGAAAAATGGTCATTGAACAAGATCACAAATATCATTCATTTTATAATAGGGAAGAATCAGGGCTGTAGGACTGTACAATGGAAAGATATTTCAAGAAGTATATTATGTTTTCTCTTGTATGTATTAGTCCATTTTCACACTGCTGATAAATACATACCTGAGACTGGGAGGAAAAAGAGGTTTAACAGACTCACAGTTCCACATGGCTGGGGAGGCCTCACAATCATGGTGGAAGGCGAAATGTACTTCTTACATGGTGGTGGCAAGAGAGAATGAGAACCAATTGAAAAGGGAAACCTTACAAAACCATCAGATCTCATGAGACTTATTCACTACCATAAGAACAGTGTGAGGGAAACCACTCCCAAAGATTCAATCATCTCCCAATGGGTCCCTCCCACAACACATGGGAATTATGGGAGTTACAATTCAAGATGAGATTTGGGTGGGGACACAGCCAAACTATATCATTGTATAACAAATTATCCCTAAACTTAGTGACATAAAACAAGAAACGGTTATTATCTCATCGTTTCTGTGGTCCAGGAATTCAGGAGCAGCTTAGTTGCATGGCCTTGTTTGAGTTCTCTCATGAGACTGTAATCAAGATGCTAGCAGGGCCACATCATGCAAAGGCTTGACTGGGAATAAAGGATCCACTTCCCGTTGTATGTGTGTGGCTGTTGACAAGAGGCCTTACTTCCTCACTGGATCTTCACTGTGGCCTCAGTTCCTTACGACATGAGCCTCTGCATAGGGCTGCCAGCATAACCTCAAGACATGTCAACTGATTGCAGAGAGAGAGAGAGAGAGAGAGAGACTAAGTGCAAGATGGAAGTTATGATGTCTTCCATGACCTGGCCTTGGAAGTAACATACTATCACTTCTGCCACGTTCCATTGGTCACGTCAACCAACCTGATAAGATATGGGAGTAGGAAGTTCTCACACCAGGGTAAACACCAGGAGGCAGGGATTGCTGGGGGCGAGCTTGCAGATTGGCTACCCCAAGACGTTACACCAATACTTTAAGCCAAAAATGATCAGCCCCTAATAAAAAGAAATCACAATGGGGGGAACAAAGTAGATGACTTGATAAATACATAGGAAATGAAATTAATAGTGATTGGTAAGGTGTGGGAAGAGAGAAGAGGGAGAACAGAGACAACCCCGGATTTCCAGCTTGCATACTTGAGTAGAGGCCAATACCTCAAAATCAGGAGAAAGAGCAGCTTGCAGTGAAAACAAGTTTTCTCTTATTTTTTATCATATTTATCAGTGACTTTTCTGAGCGCTTCTTGCTGTCTTCAACCTTCATTATATCCTAAGGTCAACCCGTTCTCAGCTGACAACATAGTTTCCTTACAGAGAACATCAAGGCAATCTGATACTGAATTTCATCAACTTTTAATCTTATCATGGCAGAATACTGTGCTTCTTTGGTTCTAAGACACTTTTTTTCATGGTTTAATATATTTTAAGTTGGAATATGTGTTGCAATCAATTAGGCTTTAGATTCAATGAAATAGGGCTTATTAGTAACTTGATTCCTTTTTTTCCCTACACACTGTTTCCTCAGAGGCAGATGGAGTTGTTTTGTTTGTTTGTTTAAAAAGAAAAAAAAAATGCTTGATTATCCAATGGAGTTTGTGTGTCTTGGAAGAGTCAAATTTTAACCCCTTTATTTCAGCCTGCTTTCTGAATAGTCTAAACTTTGCTTTGTCCCTAGATTCATCATGGATCTTGATGGTTGAGATTAAAAGAAGAGAGGCAAATATGAGTGAACACAAATTATGGTGGGTTTGTTTTTTTTCAAACTACTCCTAAGTCCCCAGCAAATCCTGTGATGTTGATACTCCATGCTTCAGCCAGCATATATGGCTGTTGGAAGGCTTCTTTAACATTATGGTCGTTGGGTCTCCATCAAAACACTGTGGTCTTTTCAAGGGTTGAGTGCTTGCTTGGTCCAAAGACAGGACTTTTAATCCCTGACAGCTAGACCAGATAGTCCAAACCTCCAGCTGGGCTCTCAGCTAACTGTCTTATTCTACTTGGCATGACGCCTCTTTTGTATCCTGTTAGAAAGAGAAAACCCAGCAAGAACACCTTGCTGTCCAATTAAATGTAATAGAACAGGAACCATGATCTAACCCTTAAGAGCCATTTTTGGATGGGAGGCAGCATTAATGATTTGCATCAACTTAAAAAAAAAAAACTCATCTATAGAATTTTTTTCTTTCCTCAGAACATTAAATACTCCCAGCTGAAGATACTTTCTTTTTGAAGTGGGAGACAGGCCCTATAAAGATATTTTGGCTTCTATCTAACACCAAGCTCTGAGGTCAAACAAATCTTGTTTGTCATGGGTTTCTCATCAAATTCTTTATTTACATCATGACTTTCTGAAAAAATACTTTATACTTGTTGAATTTACCCTAAATGAGTATGGGTCATCGTGATAGGGATAGTTTAGCTCAGGAACCAACGTTTCGGTGTCTTGATTGCCCAATGACCCCATCCTTTCCTCACTCTGTCCGGTGTTTCTTTCACCTCCCTTGCATTTCTAATCTCTTTGAGTTCCTCCCATTCTTGTGATAAAATTTTCATGTCTCTCAACTCTGAACAAAGAAAAACCCTTTCCTAGATCCTGCTACTTCTTTTACAACAATTTAATCCATCTTCCCCACCCCACCAACAGCTTTGTTTTTCTAACTTCTTAAAAAATGTGACACCAACTATCTTCCTTTCTCTTGTTAAATTCTTTGCTTCTTTAAATTCAGGCTTCTTTCTCAGTGGTTACATTGAAACTGCTCTCTCAAAAATCCTGAGTGCTGGCCGGGCATAGTGGCTCAGGCCTGTAATCCCAGCACTTTGGGAAGCTGAGGCGCGCAGATCACTTGAGGCTAGGATTTCGAGACCAGCCTGGCCAACATGATGAACCAGCGTCTCTACTAAAAATACAAAAATTAGCCAAGATAGCGCCATTGCATTCCAGCCTGGGTGACAGAACGAGATCTTGTGGGAAAAAAAAAAAATCCTGAGTACTTAATTGCTAAATTATTTGGGATTCCATGCTTTTCTCAATATCATTGACTTTCCAACTTTCTACTCTTCTTCCTTGTCTTTTTAAAAAATTCTAACCACTCATCCACTTTGGGATCTTTCTAAAGTGCAACTAGGTCATGTCATTTCTCTGCTCTCTCCTCTGGCCTCAGTATCCAGTAGAGACTCTTGAGGTGGTTTACAGGATCTGCCACGATCTGACTCCTGTTCCGTCATCTCCAACCTTATTCCTTTCCACCTTCTACCTTAACGCTCCATGCCTCAGCCAAGCTGAGCTACCTGTAGTTTCTCAAACATACCGGGCTTATTCTGTTTCACCTCTGACCTTTGCACATGCTTCTCTCACTTGCTGGGACATTCTTCCATATTTAGCTTTATTATTCATACTTATGTTGAGTAAGTTATTACATATTTGTGTAGACTGTAAGCTTTTAGAAGCAAAGACTACCTATCATTTTACTGTTGTATGTTCATCACTTATTATAGTGCCTCTCACTTAGCAGTTGCTCAATGAGTATTTGCTGACTGACTGTATGCATTATTCATGAATGAATGCAGCTTTGGTCCACGAGGCTACTCACACTGTCAACATTCCTTTTCTTTCTTTTCCTGTTGGCCTTAATCTTGTTGAGTCTCCTTTTATCTCTTAGTGCTCGGTTATCGTCTCTCGTTTAATCTCTGTTCCAGGGTCCTTTCCTTCCATTGTATCCCACACTCCTGCAGAATGTTGTTCATCTGGCCCAGCTCTGATCATGTCACTCCTTTGCTATTGCTAAGTAATTTTCAATGATTCCTCACCGCTCATATTATAAAGGTCAAAGTCCTTAGTACACTCCTAAGAGAATTTCTGCAGGCAGCGATTATATAGTTTCCTGGTTTTATCTCTCATTAGTCTTGTTCTACTAATCTTCACTCCAGTAACCAGACTACCTTGCCCATGATTTTCTGTTTATGCTGTTCTCCTCCTTCGAAATATACTTCTTCTACCTCTAATAAAAATTTAGCTATGCTTCAAGGCTCAGTTCAATTGCCACTCTTCCATAAATACTGCCCTGGCTCCCTGGGGGAACAAAATAGTTTCCTTCCCCTGTGTTCCCAAAGCACTTTGTTTGTGCCTTCTTAGACACTTGTTATATCTTACCTTCTGTTAAGGATATTTTTGCCTTTGCAATTCAGTGATAAGGTGAGAATAGATCTTATTCATTTTTGTATTCTCAGGAATGCCTTGCCCATATGTGTTCGATAAATGTTTGTTGAATTGAATGTTAATTAATCAAAGATATAAAGACTTAGTGTTAAGCATTAAATCACGGTGAGTTATATATTTTACTCTTTATCCAAAAATATGTGGATGGTGAACACACCCAGAAAGCTAGTGGCCATTTTGCTGATGCTTTTCATCTTCAGTAATAGGCACTTCTTTAACTTACAGAAAAGGAAGATTAGCTTAATTGAACAGGGCATGAAATTTATGCAGTCCTTAAAATATTATAATAAATAAGAATCATGAATATTAAACATGCTTCCTATGTTCAAAATTGATTTTAAAATGTAGTGGCTAAAGCATTTAGAAAACAAATGAGGGTCGTTTAGTATTTCAGAAATTTGTCCTCAGTTTCAAACTCTCCATATACCATAAGGTTTTTAAAGGAAAGAACCATTCCATCATGTTCATAATAATGACCATTTCTGTTGGATTCTGCGCTCGAGAAAATATTTGTTGCTTAAATAAACAAGCACCTGTGTCACAGTGTAACAATCAAGGGTCTGTATATTTTTTCCATTTATTCATTTTGTATGTGACCTAGGAAAAGTCATCTCACCTCTTGAGAAGGCAGTAACCTCATTGGTAATATGGAGGTATCAGTATCTTATCTGAATGAGGGCAAAGAGTCACTTGAGACGGCCTAAGACACTCTTATTTTTCACCCCTTCTGAAGCTCTCTTTTACTCACGTGTACCCTGATCTTTCTTAATGAACCCTTCCCACATTATCAATCACATCATGATCCCAAATGCTTCCACGAAGATCAATGGTGTAGCTCTACATTGCAAGGAGCTTTTTGGTAGACTTCAGTCTTTGCCTAATAGAAGCACTCTCTGGATAAGACAGAGAAACCAGATGACTCTGCAGGAGAGGCTGCAGGCAAGGCAAAGCTATCTATGCCCTTGCCATGTCTAAGAATGGTCAAATATCACAAGTGATTAGTCTCTCAGATAAGGGATTTGCTTTTATGAAAAACCCCCAAGGAGGGACGGAGGCCAATCTGGCATCTGCTGCAGCGTACACGCATCCTGGCAAACTACTTCAGGTCAGCAGTCAGGAACCATTTCTTCTGCTAGGATGAGCTTCATGTGGAGGTATTCTCTGAAATATGAGCCCAAAGCCACACTGAGTATCATCTGCAAGTGATAAAAACTGTATTTGTTCATTAGCAGGGTTAATAGGCATATTCCGGCAGGTCTTATTCCAAACTGTGTTTTCCGAGGCATGAATGAAGTGGCTTTTGAAATTTAATCAAGCATAAAAAAAATTACACCCATTATTCATATGATAACTGTGTTCACCTGATAGAAACATTATAGGCAAACTATGTCTTAGTGACCTCAACATCTTTTCACAGACATCTGTGGGAACCCACAAATGGAATTCGGCAACCAAACTGGCGTTTCATGAGTGGCCTTCCTGGCTGACCCCAAACAGTTCATAGAAGCCATGTATTATGATTTGCTTCCTCTCAGGGGGCACTAAATTATTTGATGAGACCACATTGAGACACAGCAATACTCTTCTTTACAATGGGACTGACAGTTACTCTCTCCTGAGTAGATGGAGACTTTGACAAGTACAGAGTTGAAGCAAAATCTGCCTGGGACATCCAGGTAGAGTTTTCTGGCTGATGCTTGGGTGGATGGTTATGGTATTTATGTCAAATCATAGATTAGTAAAGGATTTTTTTCTTATTCAGTCATGGGTTAGTAGAATATGAAAACAGGGCTGGATACACTTCTTTTTTTCCCGTTTTAAAAAACTGTGATAATAGGCCGGGCGCGGGGGCTCAAGCCTGTAATCCCAGCACTTTGGGAGGCCGAGGCGGGTGGATCACGAGGTTAAGAGATCGAGACCATCCTGGCTAATACGGTGAAACCCCGTCTCTACTAAAAATACCAAAAATTAGCCGGGCATGGTGGTGGGCGCCTGTAGTCCCAGCTACTCGGGAGCTGAGGCAGGAGAATGGTGTGAACCCGGGAGGCGGAGCTTGCAGTGAGCAGAGATCGTGCCACTGCACTCCAGCCTGGGCGACACAGCGAGACCCCGTCTCAAAGAAAAAAAAAAAACTGTGATAAGAACACTTAACATGAGATTTACCCTCTTAACAAACTTTTAAGTGCACCACACAATATGTTAACTATAATCATTACATTGTATGGCAGATCTGCAGAACTCATTCATCTTGCATAACTGAAATTGTGTGCCCATTGGAAGCCACACTCCATTTTCCCATTTTCTCAGCTCCTGGAACCCACCATTCTACTGTCTGTTTCTACGAGTATGACTATTATAGATACTTCATATAAGTGGAATCATGCAGTATTTGTCCTTCCATGACTGGCTTATTTCACTAAGCCTAACGTCTTCCAGGTTTCTCCATGTTGTTGCATATGGCAGAATTTCCTTCTTTTTGAAGGCCAAGTAGTATTCTATTGTATGTGTACACCACATTTTCCTTGTCTATTCATCCGTGGGTAGACATTTAGGTTGTTTCTACATCTTGGCTACTGTGAATAATGCTGCAATAAATATGGTATGCAGTTATCCCTTTGATATCCTTTCAGTTCTTTTGGATGTATACCCAGAAATGGAATTGCTGGATCATATGGTAGTTCTATTTTTAATTTTTTGAGGAACTTCAATACTGTTTTCTATGGTGGCTGCACCGTTTTGCATTTCCACCAACAGTGTTCCACACCAGTCCAATTTCTCCTCTTCCAATCCTCAACAACGCTTACTATTGTTTGTGTTTTGAGTAACAGTCATCCTAATAGGTGTGCACTGATATCTCATTATGGTTTTGATTTGCATTTCCCTAATGATTAGTGATGTTGAGCATGTTTATATATGCCTGTTGGCCATTTGTTTATATTCTTTGGAGAAATGTCTAAATCCTTTGCCCACCTTTTAATCTAGTAAAATTTTTTTGCTATTATGTTGTAGAAGTTTCCTATACATTTTAGATACTAACACCTTATCAGATACATGGCTTGCAAATATTTTTTCCCGTTCAGTAGGCTGCCTTTTCACTCAGATAAGTGTTTCCTCTGCTATAAGACTTAATACCTGGGTGATTAAATAACCTGTACAACAAACTCTTTTGACACAAATTTACCTCTGTAACAAACCTGCACATGTACCCCTGAACTTAAAATTTACAAAATAAAATAAAATAAACATAGCTACCTATTTAAATAAAAAAGAAGCTTTTTAGTTTTATATAGTCCCACTTGTCTTTTTTATTCTTTTTTTTTTTTTTTTTTTGTGATGGATTTTTGCTCTTGTTGGCCAGGCTGGAGTGCAGGAGCATGATCTTGGCTCACTACAACCTCCACCTCCTGGGTTCAAGCGATTCTCCTGCTTCAGCCTCACAAGTAGCTGGGGTTACAGGTGCAAGCTACCATGCCCAGCTAATTTTTGTATTTTTAGTAGAGATGGGGTTTCACCATGTTGGCCAGGCTGGTTTCGAACTCCTAACCTCAGGTGATCCACCTGCCTCGGCCTCCCAAAGTGCTGGGATTACAGGCATGAGCCACTGCAGGACAGTCCCACTTGTCTTTTATTTGCTATCGTTGCTAGTGTTTTTGATGTCATATCCAAGCAGTCAGTGTTGAGATCAAAGTTATAAAGCTTTTCCCTTGTGTTTCTTCTACAAGTTTTACTGTTTCAGTTCTTATGTTTAAGACTTTTATTCATTTTGAGTTGATTTTGCATATGGTGTAGGATAAGGTTCCAATTTCATTCTTTTACATATGGATACCCACTGTTTTCAGTGCCATTTTTTTGTGAAGAGACCATTCTTCCCTCATTGTGTATTCTGGCACTTTGTTGAAGATCAGTTGACTGTGCATGTGTCAGTTTATTTCTGGGCTCTGCATTCTGTTCCATTTGTCTATGTATCTGTTTTTATGCCAGTACCATAGTGTTTTAATTACTGTAGCTTTGTAATATATTTTAAAATCAGGAAGTGTGATGCCTCCAGCTTTGTTGTTCCTTGTCAGGATCTCTTTGGCTTTTCAGGGTCTTTTGTGGTTCCATATGAATTTTAGGAACGCTTTCCTATTTCTGTAAAATATGCCATTGGGATTTTGATAAAGATTGCATTGAATCTGTACATTGCTTTGGGCCATGTGGATATCTTAACAAGATTAAGTCTTCCAATCCCAGAACACAGGATGTCTATTTATTTGTGTTTTTAAAAATTTCTTTCAGCAGTGTTTCATAATTTTCAGTGTACAAGTCTTTCACCTCCTTGGTAAAATTGATTCCTAAGTATTTTGGTTTTTGCTGCTATTGTAAATATTATTATTTTCTTAGTAGGTACATCTGTGTTTCATTGCTTCATCTGAGCAATCTCTATCAATAGAACTCACCTTGACCCATAAGAAAATATGTTAAATGATTAGTGGCCTAAACAAAGTGCCTATTGTCTTTAACTCTCTTAAGAGGAATTACCATTTATTGTCTACTGAACGCCAGGCATAGCCTTAGACTCAACATACATTATTCCATTTGATCCTAGTGTCTCTATGAAATAGATATCATTAAACCCCCTTTCCATAAGGAAATTCATATTTAGAGAGGTTAAGGTGCTCGTTCAAATTCACATGGTTAAGAAGTAGGAAGGCCATGTCTATTTGATTCCAAAGTCAGAGCTCTTTTCACAAATATGCAGTGTCCTAAAATTAAAACATAGGCCTTGCTTAGTTAGTTCTAGTATGTTGTGCATCAGAAACAGCTCCTAACCTATGCTAAAAATGATCACATAAGGGGTAATTGAAATTATTTTCAGTGGTTTCTGCAGATATCTGCAGAGTTAAGATTTTCTGTAATGAAGTTCTGTATTTTGGCAGTCTTTGTAAGCTTCTTGGAAAGTAGAAAAGCATTCTTCCTTTGGTTGGAGGGTCAATTCTTATCCAAAGGATTCTCTGAGTTTCCCTTCTCCTTAGATTGTGGAGTTGGACATGATGTTGAAGGTCACAAGAACCAACCACTCATTTTATGCATAAGCAACCCACAGAAAGGTTTGGAAAGGTCAACCAGGTTGATTAAGATCACTCAGCACTTACTGGCAGAGTTAGGAACGACATCTAAGCTTCCTAACTCTAAATCCCGTGCCTTATTATTAGCGAAATTATTAGTTTCTGAACTAGGACTCATGCTTTTGTTGTATAAAGTAAATCTGGCCACTTTTCTTTTATGAATTGACTACTTCCAGTATGATTGCGACTTACTCTATTTTTCTCACACATATAGTACATATCTTTTATACATAGTCTAGCCAAAATTCTGACATGACTTAGCAGCAACATGGATGCAGAGGCCATTATCCTAAGCAAATCAATGCAGGAACAGAAAACCAAATACCACGTGTTCTTACTTATAAACAAGAGCTAAACATTGGGTACTCGTGGACATAAAGATGGGAAAAATAAACACTGGGGACTACTACAAGGGGGAAGGCAGGAGGGAGGGAGGCAAGGGTTGAAAAACTAACTGTTGGATACTGTGTTTAGTACATGGATGACAGGATCATTTGTATTTCAAACCTCAGTTTCATGCACTATACCCAGGTAATAAACCGGCACATGTACCTCAAACCTAAAATTTAACAAAAAATGAAATTTAAAAAATTCAGGCATGAATTGTATATTTGAGCTATCCAAACTCATATTCCCTCCCTGAACATCTGCTTGGCCTCTTTACACCAGAAACTAAATTTCTTGAGAAAGTCCATCTTAATTACCTTGTATTTATAGATGCTCAAATGGTCCTAATATTTACAGATGCTTATTAAATATGATTGGATTATGCCATTTGCTTGATATTCTTTATTAATGCTAATGTGCATTAGAAGCAAATTTTTAAACTTTTAAGTTCAGGTGTACAAGTGCAGGTTTATCACATAGGTAAACTTGCGTCATGGAAAAGCAATTTTTAACAAGCAACCCATTATTAGGTCAATGTGTCCAATACTCACGGCCTTATTGGTATCCTTGGGACATAGAAAAAAAACAGAGACACTAGTTTGTACAGCTATTAAGATATTACCGATGCCTTTGCTAATAGAACGTAAGGTTTTTCTATTTAAAGCAAAAAAAAAAAAAAAATCTTTGGTTAATGGGTACTAAAAAATAGAAAGAATAAGACCTACTATTTGATAGAATAAGAGGGTGATTATAGTCAATGAGAACCTAATCATACATTTAAAAATAACTAAAAGGGTTTAACTGAATTATTTGTAATGCAAAGGATAAATGCTCAAAGGGATGGATACCCAATTCTCCATGATCTGCTTGTTTTATTATATTTGCATATTGCCTGCCAGCAACAAAACATCTCATGTACCCATGGACATATATAACTACTATGTACCCAGAAAAATTACAAATAAAAAATTAAAAAAAAATTTTTATAATCCCTTAAAATTATCTTAATAAGGCTTAGTTGAAGGGGAAACACACACACACACACACACACACACACACACACACACACACACACACAAAATGGTAGCCAGAATGATGAGTCGACTAAGTAGTGGAGTTGTATCACGATGTATGATCTTTGATTCAAACTTCAGAGAATCTGTTAAGAAAGAAAATATAGATGTAGGATTCCAGAAGGCATGAACAATCTTGAACTGTTCTTTTGAAAAATGAACTGAGCAGAGCTGAGCTATAGAGCGAAAGCCAGTTGATTTATGTCAAAATAAATTACTGGGTGCCATTTCTGTAGACCCAAAGGATTCTGCAGGTTGAATATTTGCAGGTTTGTATCTAATTTTAGGGATCAGGACATTTCTGTTATCTTCACCATTTTTCTTGCCATACAAAAGGCGATCAAAATAAGTGCCATTTACTGAGAACTAACTGATGGCTTCCCTAGGTTGCAGTGTTTTAATTAGAGAGATCATAGGGCCAGATTCTGCTATTCAGTGAAGGGAGGCTTTTATAAAAAGGCTTATAACAGCATGAGACAGATTTCTATTTGATAATGAGAAACAAAATGTGTAAAAATGAAATTGTAAAAAGGACTAAGCAATGGCATGGTACTAGATGAAGTTTCTTTTTTTCTAAATAACTTTAGAGAAAATTGGCACATTTGGTAACTACATTGACTTTTTCTATATGGAAAAGCATAGAAATTTCTTGGAAGTGACTAGACTGAGAAACAGGGGTACAGAAACTGGCCCCTCTACAGTTTGTAACGTAGGCTTCTCATGCGTTTCTTTTCCAGTTTTCTCCTCACTGTTTTCGCACAAGAAAGGACTGCATAAAAAGATGTCGAGCCATGTAGTTCACAAGGAGGAACACATCGCTTCTACAGCTGGATTTTTAAAAGACACTAACTTAATGGTTTTAGTTGTATTATTTTAATTACGGCAACAAAAGGAATTGGAAGCTGTAAACAGCCATTTTCTTAAGCCAATTGTGTGGACATTAGGTTTATAAACAAAATCCATTGAAACTTTATAAAAATAAGAAATTTTCATTTATATTAAATTCCAACTCAGTTTTAATAATGTACTTGCTTAATTTTTTAACCACAGATCTGATTTCCTATAAAAAAGGAAAAAATTATCTCATGACATGCCTAAAGAAAGGTCAGGAAATTTTACATTTTCTCAGATACTCACTGAAATTAAAGCAAACTAAAAAGAAAAATTGGCCTTTGCTTCTTCTAGCCTCCCTTGCAAATATAAAACATCATGTCAATATTATTTCAATAAGTAGCATTTTAAAAAGCAAACCAAGTAAACAAAACATGTATTGTACTTATTCAGCTGATGTCCTTAGACCATAGTCCTAGACTGAGATCTGAATGTTTTGGAACAAGAAGCCCAGTCTGCTTTGCCTTTCTATCTCATTTTACAGAAAACTAGGACAATGGCAACATGTCATCACTGAGGGCATGCTATGAAAGATTTATCTTCCTGTGTTCAAACAAATCATTAGATTTATCGTTTTTGGTATCATAGGTCTTCATTGAGTCAAATAAACCATATTTTGTTTACTACACTGGAAAGATATAAATGCTAAATACTGTTTAACTTTATTTTATTAGAGTGAATATTATATTCTTTTTTCCAGTGACCTTTTATTGCTTCGTGAATAAGGAAATAATTTGCTGGACAGAAATAGCAGCAAGAGACTGATGGAATTTATGAGCAGACAAACTCTCCTAAAACTGAAAGATAACCATGATAGTTTCAGATAAAAATAGAGAATTTTTCTGTACTCCAGTCTCAAAAGTTTCACAAACTTTATATCATACAGGAAATAATATATAAGATTTAAATGGTAGACAACTAATCAATCTTTTGTAACAGAAAAATAAAGTCAAAACCAGTGATAGATATGATACTTTGCCAAACTCTTAAGCATTTGCTCCTTTAAAAAATATCATACAAAAGGAACAGAGAAAAATGAGTTTACCTTTCACAAGAGAAAAACTAACCTGATAGCACCAGAAGGAAACAGTAAAACATCGCGGTCAAGACTAGGACCTGTGGAACCTGATAGAACACTTAATGGTTCTGTGACTTCGGGCAGGTCTCCTACTTTCTGAACCTCAGTTTCCTCTTGTAGAAGGCAGAGATCATATCACTTGCTATCCTCTAGTGATGGTAAGAAAGCTAAATGGGATGATACACGTAAGACACCTAGCTTTGTGCCTATCACATTTTAAGCACTTGATACACGTTAGACATTATTATCACTTTTAGTTAACAGCTGAATTTTCTTGTCAGATCTCTGTAAACCATGGTGGCATATGAGAATTACAGCCACTCAACAAAAAGTTGTAAAAATACAGTCCATCAATCCATTCTTCCATCTCTCTTGAAGTGCTCTGGACAATCTTTTCTCGACATTTTTTGTACTTGATGTTGTATCAGAATATTGTAGTTTGAAAGAAACTTAAAAACCAAGTATTCAGGGATTTTGCTTAAGGTGTAGAAAGCTAAAAAGAATATGTTCAGCACTCTTACAATAAAAAGATGGAATGTATATGAAATTTTAAACTTTCCTGAATGCATTAGAGAGCTTAAGTCACAGGGAAAGTCTAAAGCTGAGAGTGGTAAAATAACAGAAAAAAATAAACAAAAAAAATTCCAGCAGTGCCGCCACAACCCTAAGCACAAAGTGTCACTGGAGGAATTTGAATTCTAGGGTGCACTCAAGGCAACCACAGAAAAACAAAACCAAAATCCAGGTCAAGTCATGGCTACACTGACTCAATCCCCATACTGATTATCTACCAAATTAAGATGTTGTGCCAATTTGCAGGCGCAAATGCTATTTATATCAGGACTGTTGTTTTATGCAAGATGTCTGATATTCAAGAAAGAATTATGAGAAACATTGAGAGGCAAGAAAATACACACTGTCAATAAAATCAAAACCACACTCTAATATGCTCCAGATGTAGGAAGTCACATAGGGAATTTAAAATAGCTATGATTCATGTGTTAATATGATTAATAGTGAAAAAGATGCACCACATATGTGACTAAATAGGGAGTTTCAGCAGACGAAATAAAACTATAAGAAAATGATAACAGAAATAATGTCTTTGATGGGCTCAGTAGGAAAGACTCTGACACAGGTGAGAGCTGACTGAGATCATTAAAGTGTTGAAATTTAAAAAGAAATTGTCAATCCCAATGTATATATGCAATGAAAATATCTTTCAATAACAGGAGGAAAATAAAGACATCTTCAAATAAAAACTGAGAAGCCTTCAAACAAAAAACACTCACGAAATTTATAACAAGAATATCTGTGTTTCAAGAAATGTTAAAGAAATTTCTTCAATCAGAAAAAATACTAGACAGAAACTATGATCTATGAAGAGTGCTAGAAATGGCAAGAATAAAGGAATATATAAAATTTATTTTCTCATTTAAATTGCTCTAATAGCAAATTATTTCTTTAAAACAAATAAGTAGCAATTCATTGTGTTTTAGCATTCTGTATATTGTGTGCAGTGAACTTCTTTAAAAAAGCCTTATGTAGTATGGTTGCCAGAGCAACCATAGTACAGAAGATGGACATGAGCAATTAAGAGTACATGGTTATGAAGTCATTACATGATATGTGAAATTATATAATATTATTTGAAGACAGGCTGTGATTAATCACAAATGTATATTATGACCTCTAAGGAAATGACTAATGTCTTTTTTTTACAGAGCTATAAATAATAAGTTAATAGTGAACATAAAAGTGGAATCATAAAGTACTCAATATATTAGGAGGCAGAAAAAGAGGAAGAAAAAACCAAAGAATAGATGAGACAAGTAGAAAACTAGAAAAATGGTATATTTTTATTAAGATCAACAACTGCATTAAATATAAATGGTATAATACATTATTAAAAGACAGAGATTGTCATATTGGATTAAAAATTAAATGACCCAACTTTATATTATTCACAAGCAACCCACTATAAAGACACAGATAGACAAAAAGAGAAAATATGTTATAAAACAAATCATTCAAATAAAAATATAAGTAAAGTGACTATATGTTTATCAGACAGAGTTTATTTCATAACAAGGAATATGAGAGATAAAGAATAATATTATCTAATAATAAAGGGTCAAGGTACCAAGAAGATACAATGATCCAAAATATGTATTCAACTAACAATGCTTCAAAATATACAAAGCAAAAACTTACAGAATTATAAGAGAAATAGACAAGATTGCAATCATAACAAAATTTATGCTTCTCTTTCAGTAATAAAACGAGCAGTCAGAAAGTCAGCAAAGATATAGAAGATGTGAATAACACTATAAACCAACTTTATCTAATTGACACTTACACAATACTTCATTTAGTAATAGCAGACTAACCATTCTTCTCAAGCACATATCCAAGATATTCTGAGCCATAAAAGAAAAATCACATTTAAAAGAATTGCAATCATGTGAAGTAATTTTCAAAAACATAACAAATTAAATTAAAAATTGATAGCAGAAAAACATCATAAAATACCAAATACTTGATTTCAAGACTAACTATAAGGATACAAATATAGAGATAGCCTGGGATTGATGAGAGGATAGATATATAGTTCAGTGGAATACGAAGTCCAGATATAGAATCACACATGTACAGTCAGTGGATTTTCAACAAAGGGGAAAGGGCAATTCAATGGAGGAAAGATATTTAGTGTAATAAATGGTGCTGAAATAATGGGCTATTCATATGGGAAAAAAGTAAATCCTGGTTCTTATCCTGTACCATATGCAAAAATTAGCTATAAAATAGATCATAAACATACATGTAAAATGTAAATTTAAAACTTATAGAAGAACAGGTAGAAATTTTGTGACCTTGGGTTGACCATGATTCCTTAGGTATAACACAACACAATAAATAAAGAAAAAAATTATAAGTGACTTTCATCAAATTAAGAGTTCTGTTCTTTAAATGTCACTTTTAGAGAATGAAAAGATAAGGCAGAAATGGGAAGAAAATATTGCAAAACACACATGTGATAAATATCTCCCTTCCAGCATAAAAAGGAATTCCCAAAACTCAGTAATAAGAAAACAATCAACTCAATTTTAAAAAAGGCAAAGGCTTTTGGGGGAAAAACCCCACTTCACCAAAAAAATATATAAGGGATAAAATCAGTAAACTAAAAGACAAGTCAGTAAAAATATACCTACTGAGGTCCAAAAAGAAAAAGGCAAGGAAAGTAAGATATGTGAAGCATGGTAAACATTCTTTAAAATTGGATAAAGTCCTCAAAAGAGAGAAAAGAGAGAATAAGGATGAAATAATATTTAAAGATACAGCCAGGTATTTTTCAGAGCTGATAAAAAACATCAACCCATAGAATCAAGAAGCTCCTGAAGCCTCAGTCAGAACAAATATAAGGAAAACCACACCAAAGAACATCAGTTAAACTGCTGAAAATGAAAGATTAAAAGAAATCTTAAATGGCTGTGCAGAAAAGGGGCATATTAACTTTAGAAAATAAGTACAAGACTGGCTGAGTTTACCACACACTATAGAAGCTGGAGGAAAATATGATATTTTTATAAATTTTTATACATTTAAGGAGTACAAGTGCATTTTTGTTACATGGATGTAGTGTGTGATGATGAAGTCTGGGCCTTTAGGGTAACCATCACCCAAATAGTGTACCTTGTATCTATTAAGTAATTTCTTATCCTTCACCCACTTCCCAATGTCTATTATAGAACCATATCATTCTTTCAATAATGATCATATTTTTAAACAAACGTGAGAACTTTCACTAGCTGACCTACACTAAAGTAAACTGTAGGAGGAGTTCAGTGGAAGGAAAATTAATCTCAGAGAGAAATGTAACAATATATGAAGACCCATGGAAAGGAAAAGATGCTTGTAAATTTAAATGATTACTGACTGTACAAAACAATAGATAATGTTGGGTGTTCAAAATCTGTGTGGGATTTAATTGTGTGATAATAATAATACAAAGTTGTGAGAGAGTAAATAAAGTTGGTTTGCTCTAAAACTCTAGCATTGGCTGAGTGGGGTTGCTGACACTTATAATCCCAGAACTTTGGGAAGCTGAGGCAGGAGGATCACTTGAAGCCCAGAGTTCAAGACCAGCCCGGGCAGCATAGCCAAACCCTGACTCTACTAAATTAATTAATAACTCTAGCATTAACTGGGAAGTGGTCAGGTAATTTGCATAATATTTTTTAAGTAAAATACCATGTTATAAGTTATAAAGTAGCCATTAATGGAAATAGGAAAAGAACGTAGAACTTGCTAGCTAATAAAAGGAAAAAGTGAATAATAAAGACCTTTATTAGTCAAGAAGACAGAAGAGAAAAAAAAAAGGAAGAATATAAAATGGGAAGGGGTGAAAATAGAGAACATTTTAGACTGTAGTTTTAAACACAAACAAAATTGTAATTACATGAAGTGCACACAGGCTACATAATCCAATTTGAAGACTGAAATTAACAGATTGGTTACAAAAACCAGATTCAATGATAAGCTGCTTACAAGAAACACTTCTTAAATAAAAGAACACAGAAATGTTGTAAAGAAAAAAATGGAAAAAGATGAACTACAGAAACACTAACTAAAGGATGGCTTGTGTAGCCTTACTAATAATTGTCACAGATGATTAAGGCTTAATTGGAAATAAATATGAATATTTCATAACTATGATTTTAATCCATAGTGAATATAATACAATTCTACATCTATAAATACCCAATAACATAGTTTTAAAAATAAATTACATAACTAAAAGGACAAGTATTAAATTCATAATTATAATGTAAGACTTTTATTGTCTCTATAGTTCTTAGAAGAAACAGACAAAAAAATCAAATATATCTATTTGAGAGACCTAGTACAGTTACTGTCTGTGGCTGAGGTTTCCACTACAGATGCAAGAAAAAGGGTCCTGTGCTTTCTGTCTATCTGATTGACTACTGAAGTTGTCAAATGGTTTTTCTTCATCCATCAGGCTGATCATATGATTTTTCTTCTTTTGTCAGTTAAGGTAATCAACTAAATTAATTTTCAACTAAATGAAATAATTATCAATGAACCACTTCGCACTGCTGAAATGAGACTCATGTGGTAATATTGTATTATCCTTATCTGCCTGTATTTAATATTCCAGTGTTGTGTTTCAGATGTTTTACATTTAATGCCATGACAGGGATTAGCCTCTACTTTAAAATTCTTGGTAAACAAAGAATAAAAGGAAAATCTCTCATTAAATAAAGAGTAACTACAAATAAAACATGTAAAGAAGTTCATATTTAAGTATGGGTTACTGAAAGCTTTTCTCCTGAAATAAAAAAATCAAAAATATAGTCTATTAGTTTATTTAAATATTATACTGGAGATCTTAGCCAGTACAGTAAGACAAGAAAAATATCGTAAGTATTAGAAAAGAAGAGGAAAAAAAAAGGTCATTTGCAGAGGACATTTTGGTGTTTACAGAAGAACTGTTGGAATTAATAAGCCAATCTACAGAAGTCATTCAATATGAGGTTAAAATACAATAACTGGTTGTATTTGTATCAATGACAAAATTTACAAAAGTGGTATTATTCACAGTAGAATCTAAAATATCAAATAGGAATTAATGTAACAAGTGGTATCAAAAACATTACTGTACTTTACTACACTAAAAACTACAAAATATTATTGTGAGAAATTAAAGAAGGCCTAATAAATGGAGAAATATTCATGCTCATAGATATGAAGACTGATATTGATTATCCCTGAAATACTGCATAAATTTAATGGAATACCAGTAAGAATTTCAACCAGTTTGCTTGTGGAAATTTACAAAATAATTTTAAGGTTTACATTTTATAATCAGAGAAAGCTGAGTTAACCAAAAGGTCCAAGGATATGCAGGGAAACCTTGAAGAATAAAATATAACTGAAGGATGCCCATCACGAGGTATCAACCCCTATCATACCCATATATATCATGTGACAAAGGTGGCATTATAAAGTGGTGTTGAAAGAATGGGAAAACATTAAAAATTGTTTACAAAGTAAACATGTTTTACAAAGTAAAAATGTTTAGATAGAGAAATATTCTTAAACGAGAATAAAAAACTCTAAAAATGAAGTTTGTAAATCTGACCTCATTAAAAAATATTTTCCATGCAACAAAAGAGATTGTATGCCATTTAAAACATGAGATCAACTGTAGGACTGTATTTGTATACAACCAAAAGAATATTATATTGAACATTCGAAATACAACCAAAAGAATATTATATTGAACATTCGAAATGTTCAAGAAATCCTACAAATTCATGAGTATAACTCAAGACAACTAAATAGAAAAAAATAATCAAGTAATATTTATAGGCGATTTGTTAAAAAACTCTAAATATTCAATCAATATATGAAAGGCTGTTTAATCTTATCAGGATCCATATAAATGCAATTTGAAGCAGCAATCAGATATAGTTTTGCATTCATTAAATCAGTAGAAATTTAAAATCCTGATTATTAAGTGTTGACGAGCCTATGGGAGAATAGGCTTTCTTATACATTGGTGGTGGCACTCTTTAGAGAGAAGTTGGGTAATATAGACGGCCCCCAACATATAACGGTTTGACTTAAAATTTTTTGGCATTATAATGGTGCAAAAGTGATGTGCCTTCAGTAGAAATGATGTGTCAAGTACCCATATAACCATTCTGTTTTTCACTTGTAGGTCAGTAATCAATGAATTACACGAGCTAGTCAACACTTTATTTTAAAATAGGCTTTCTATTAGATGATTTTGCCAACTATAGGCTAATGTGAGTGTTTTGAACATTTTTAAGATAGACTAGGTGTATTCAATGAATTTTTGACATGTTATTTTCAACTTAAAATGGGTTTATCAGGTGATAACCCAAATGTAAGTTGAGGAACATTTGTAATTTCCAGTAAAGCTGAGGAAACATATGCCCAGCAATTCCACTTCTGGGTATACAACTTCAAAAAAAATTAACAAGTATACAAATAATTGCATTGTTCAATGTGACCTTGTATTAATGTAAAACTGGGAACAATAGCAATATCATCCATAGAGGATTAAATTGTGGTATAAACATTCAATGAAACTGATACATCAATTAAAATGAATGAATCATTATGGATTAATCTCAAAAGCATAATTTAAGTGATTAAGAAAACAAGTTAAAGGTTATGGGCAGTATATAATTCATAAAATTGGTAAAAATCCACACAATCATCTTCTATGTTATTAACATATCCATATTTGTTAATGGTATAAAATTAGCAGGGAAGGAAATTTTCTAATTTAAGAATGGTGGTTACTTCTGGGGAAGAGGAAAGAGATGTATAGTAGAGATAATAGAAGAGATGGGATAATCTTGAACACTTTATGTCTCTTTAAAAAAGGAATCTCTGGTGACATTGTAAAACATTAATATTTATAATATCTGGGCATTTCACAGATATTTCTTACATTTATATGTATATTTTTCTTTAAGTTTGAAATATTTCATAATAAAAGCATTAGAAAGTTAGTGACCCTGATAGGGGATGGTAGCAATGGAAACAGCGATAGGAAACAATTAAGGAATCTGAACTGATAAAATTGTCGTCTTGGCACCTCATTAGCCAATGCGGTTGGGGAGAGGGAGGGAGGGCAGGGAACTGAGGCAGATAACAGAGAGATCAAAGATGAAACAAAAGTGTTAATCTTAGGTGGGCAGATGTTGGAGTGGGTGGGGGGAGGCTGGATTTGAGGAATATGGGGAGAACATGGGGTAGGAGGCTTGGGAAGGAGAGGATGAGTTTAATTTTTAAAAATAGTGAGTTGGAGATGTTAAGACATGCAGTTATAGATGTCAGCAGAGAGTTGAAACTGGCCAGTCAGGAGAGAAATTAGGGATGAAGCTCTAGTGTTTGAAAGCAATCGAACTGATAACTAGAACTGTGAGTTCAATAAGTTCCCAGGAAGTGAAGGTCAAGAGAGAAAAGGAGAAGAACCACAGCAAAGTTTTTTGTACAACATCTACATTGTGGTATGAGTCTGCGATGAGGAGCCACAAAAGAAAATGTAAGAGGCTCCAGAGAACAAAAGCCAGCCTGGCCTAGAAGCCAAGTGGAAAAGAGGACCTCACGAAGCAGTTGCGGTCTTGATGGTCAGTGTTGTGAAGAAGGGAGGGAAGGTGAGAATGGAGGTAAAACTGCTGTGTTTGCTATTGATGGGAGTGTAAATTAGTTCAACTCTTGTGAAAACCGTATGGTGATTCCTCTAAGAGCTAAAAGCAGAACCACCATTCAACCCAGAAATCCCATTACTGGATATATACCCATAGGGAATAGAAATCTTTCTACCAGAAAGACACATGCACGTGAATGTGCACCGCAGCACTACTCACAATAGCAAAGACATGGAATCAACCTAAATGCCTATCAATGACAGACTGAATAAAGAAAATGTGGTACAGATGCACCATGAAATACTACGCAGCCATAAAAAAGAATGAGATTACGTCTTTTGCAGGGACATGGATGGAGCTGGAGGCCACCATCCACAGCAGACTAATGCAGGAACAGAAAACCAAATACCATATATTCTCGCTTACAAGTGGGACCTAAATGATGAGAACTCATGAACACAAAGAAGGGAACAATAGACACTGGGGTCTACTTGAGGGTGGGGAGGGTGGGAGGACGGAGAGGAGCAGAAAAGGTAACTACAGAGCACTGGGCTTAATACCTGGTGATGGAATAATCTGTAAAGCAAACCCCCATGACACGAGTTTGCCTATATAATAAACCTTCACCTTTACTCCCGAAACTAACATACGAGTTAAACACACACACACACACACACACACATAACTGTTGTGTTTGGCAACTAGGAGGCCTCTGATGACCTTAGGAAGAAGGAGAGAGGATGGTGGCTACCAGGATGCTTGTATGGCTAATAAATGTGTGCAGAAAGAATTGGGAGCAAAAATGAATCACTGCATCCTGGACTCTCCGTGTGAGCTGCTGTCACTGTTTCCGCCCATTCTAGTGGCTCCCCTGAGCCTGGCATTGCTCCAGACTCGGTGGGTGCCCACCCAGCTGCTGCCATCCCCTCACCTTCCTCCTGTGGCTGTAAGCTGAAGAGTGTTGGGGAAGTGACTCAAAAATAAAACTGTTTATCCCGGCCCTGCGTAAATAAATGTCACTTCACTCTTCCCTGCCTCTGAATCACTGATATCCTGTATTTCGCTGATCTTGTTTATCCTTGAAGTTGTCCTCAAACATTTCCCAGTCTCCTGAATTGCATACAAAAATAACGAATATTTTTAAAAGTGTAATTGCTGTTGTTTGTTATTTTGTCCTGCCACTGTGCTTCCTTATGCCATCTGGACTGGAGGTGGACTTGTTAAAAAAACACCCAGAAAGGACACTCTCACTAATTTGAGCCTTAAAGAGAGAAGGAAGTCCTTAGTCTCTCTCCCCAGCAAACAGATCTTTATAGAGTTTCCTGGCCGCACAGGCAGCCAAGATGTTGCTAAATCTGGGAAGCTTATCGAGAGCAGTCTGAGACTTCTCTCCACAACTGTGTTCAGTTACACATGGTCTGTTTGTTGCTTTAAATGAACATCACAAGCATAATCATAACATACACCTGTATGGAACTGTGCACTTTTCAAATTAGTTCCACACACAAGGCAGAATTTCATCATCCCCAAAACTCTGAAGTCCTGAGACTCAGAGAGTCTATATGATCAAGGAGAAAAGCATGTCAAGTCGAATGGTGCCAGGACTTCCAATTCCCCATCCAGTGCTCTGCACCAGTGTGGATCATCTTCAGCAGGCTTCACCACTGAGACGTGAGATATGACTTTGCCTACAACAGCAATTAGGAGGGGGGAAATGAAAAGGTCAATTTCCACCCCACATTGATAGATACATGATTGAGTCATTATTTCTCTGTGCCAAAGCTGGAACAAACTGTATCCAGCAGAGTTCCTTTTAAGGAGAGCATTGTGTGTGTGTGGACAATGTTACTATGTTTGCCAGGCTGGTCTTGAACTCCTGACCTCAAGTGATCTGCCCACCCCAGCCTCCCAAAGTGCTGGAATTATAGGTGTGAGCCACCGTGCTTGGCTATGTTCTGTATTATAAAGATCTCCCTGATCCAGCAAATCTGCAGGCAAATAATGAAGCACATGGAAAGGCTGGGTCAGGTGCATGTCTTTTGGACAATGTGTGGATCCCCCAAATCTGCAGGTAAAGAATGAAGCACATGGAAGAGCTGGAGTGGGTGCATGTCTTTTGGACAACAGGTGGATACTTTGTGTCGCTATTTAAAAGGGTAGAAACACCTGGGGGCTGAGAGATGACTAAAAATTCAATTAGGCCAGGTGCAGTGGTTCATGACTGTAATCCCAGTATTTTGGGAGGCTAAGAAAGGTGGATGGCTTCAGCCCAGGAGTTTGGGACCAGCCTGGGCAACATAGCAATACCCTGTCTCTAAAAAAAAAAAAAAATACAAAAATTAGCTAGGTATGGTGGCATGCACCTGTAGTCCCAGCCACTTGGGAGGCTGAGGTGGGAACGTCACTTGATCTCAGGAGGTTGAGGCTGCAGTGAGCTGTGATCATGTCATTGCACCCTAGCCTGGGTGACAGAGCAAGACCCTGTTTTTTTGTTTGTTTGTTTGCTTTTGCTTTTTCTAAAAAAAAAAAAAATAGAGAATTCAATCAAGGATGCCAGAAAAGTTGTGCAAGTTCTCTGAACTGTCACAGGTTGTGGGTTTGGGATTTAAGCCAAGTTCAACCACATTTATGAAGGGCAGGAGGTATCAGCAGGCATCTGGGTTACTTTAGAAATCAGAGTGCATTTTCAAAGTACTTATTTGTATGTCTTTGATCCAGTGTCTAATTAAATACACAAAAGAAAACCATGTGTATATACATATACAAATATACACACACACAATTTCCTTAGAATAATTGAGAAAAATGTGTCATTGTGATATAGAATTTTAGTTTAAGTGGGGAAGAACATTACAGTTTCACTTGCACTCTCTTGAAAAGGGAACTTTAGCTAATAATGAGTCCATGCTCACTGGAGACATTTAAGAAGACACTGATGAGATCTGTGGAGGATATTATAGAGGCAGCTCCTTCACTGGCTAGAACACTGATTCCCATCAACTCTAAAATCTGTCCTTTATTTTTTTAATTACAAGAGAAAAACAAAGGGCATGAAGCCTTCAGAAATTCCACCTAAGGTAATTTCTAAATCTTAATAACACAAAAGACAAGCATAGCAAAGAATTTAAGTGTAATTTGGCCTTAACTTTCAATTTCTGACAGGGTTAGATATTTTCTCCACTGAGTCGTCTGATAGTTTGATGCTGAAGCTCTTTACCCTTTGACTCAGATGACTGGATTCTGAATGAAAGGGCTGGGGCAGGTTTTATACACTCATAGTAGCATTTTCAGATCTTTTATTTCACAACAAAGACGCACCTTTCCTCTTCCTTATTATTGCTGATGATGCGAAGAGAGGCAGGGAAGTGCTGAATGAAAAGAGATGCATGTCTAATTTTCATTGCAAGAGAGACACTGTACAAAGTGTTTTACAAAGTGGAAAACTCAAGGATTAAAAAAAACACCCAAACAACAACAAAACCCCTCCTTCAATTTTGTCTAACACCAAACCATGAGATTGAGCCCAGCCAATAGATTGTGATTCCAGGTGAAGACCGCAGGCAGGCACAACTAGTACCATGCAGCATGTGGAAACTGTGAAATGTAGGGTAAAACTGCAGAATTTAAAGTCACACATTGATAAGATCACAAGGTGGAACTCTTTGAGACAGGAAGAAAGCAAGCTTAGGTAGAACTGACCTCTGAAATGAAGGAAGAGAAGAAGGGACAAGAAACTCTGGGAACGTGAAGGGGGCATCACAGGCAGTCAAGAAATAGGATAAGTGTATTTGCTTCCTTTTGCTGCTGTGACAAGTAACCACAAACTTAGTGGTTTAGAGCAATACAAGTTTATGATCCTACAGTTCTGAAGGTCAAAAGTCCAAAATCACTCTCAGGGGGCTAAGTTCACACTATTGTCTGGCCTGTGTTCCTTCTGGAGGCTCCAATGGAGAAAACATTCCTTGCCTTTTCCAGCTTGTAGAGGCTGCTGATATTCCTCAGCTCATGGGGTGCTATGGTTTGGCTGTGTCCCCACCCCAATCTAATCTTGAATTGTAGCTCCCCTAATTCCCACATGTTGTGGGAGGGACCAGGTGGGAGGTAATTCCCATCAAGGTAGATAATTCCCATCAAGGAGGTAATTGAAGTGGGGCGGGGGGTGGGGGGGGCAGTTTCCCCCATACTGTTCTTGTGGTAGTGAATAAGATTCACCAAGCCCCTTTCGTTTGGTTCTCATTCTCTCTTGTCTGCTGCCATGTAAGACGTGACTTTTGTCTCCTGCCATGATTGTGAGGCCTCCCCAGCCATGTGGAACTGTGAGTCCATTAAATCTTTTTTCTTTATAAATTACCCAAGTCTCAGGTATGTATTTATTAGCAGCATGAAAACGGACTAATACTTGGGGGCATCACTCTAACTTTTGCTTCCACAGTCACATTGTCTTCTTTCATCTTTATCCTCCCATATCCCTCTTAAAAGGATCCTTGGGATCACATGGACTGCACTTGGATCATCCAGGAAAACCTCTCCATTTCAGCATCTTTAATTTAATCACATCCATGAAGTCCCTTTTACTATCTAAGGTATCTATTAGGTCGGTGGAAATGTTATTGTGGTTTTTGCCATTGGCAAAAACTTTGGATTACTAAAAATTTTACTAAATTTTAGTTTCATATCCAACTCAAAGCTCTTCTTCTCCCTATCCTATAGGATAGGAGAAGGGGATAATTTACTAAAATTACTAAAAATTACTTTGGATTACATCCAAAGCAATGGCAAAAACCACAATAATGTTTGCACCAACCTGATATTAACAAGTTTCTTGCATTAGAAGGTGGACATCTTTTGGGTGTGTGGGGGAGGTAAAATGCAGCCCACCACAGAAGGTGGCCACAAAAATATCATCAGGAATATTTGTGATCATAGTAAAGTATATGAATGAACATTTTAGTAAACATGGAACAACCAGCCCAATCATCCGGGAAATCTCCCTGTGGGGTGAAGAGTTGATGTCAATATACATTGATATGGTGCCACCTGCATGCCAGGATTTGGAGGGTGAGAGATTTTTGATCCTAGCTATGGAAAAAAATATCTTGTGTTCTCCCTCATCTCCTTGGTACTTTGTCATTCCTGTCCCTCTCCTGGAAAATTATTTAGCTTTTGGTTCTCTACTTAGACATTCGAGGAAATTTTATATGAGACACTACATCCTCTCAAGACAGGGAACTCCCTGACCTCACCTCTTTCAGGATGGAAGAAGGATTTTCTCCATGAAACCAAGGGAGGCTGATTCCAAGACAATCACTTGTAAAGTCGATGAGCCTCTGAACTGGATTTCCACTCAGATGGGTCCAGGGCTATCTGTTCTGAAACTTTAATGTGTCTAATTCTGTGGGGCTCTCTTGGAGTGGAGGAAAGAGAAAGATGCCAATGACGATTGCAGGAGCAGTATTAAAGTAGCTTGTCTTCCCACTACTTAGCATGATAAAGCTGTGGAATTCCCATGGCTCAAGTGGACACTGAGGGCTGTGACTTGGGTCAACTCGCTGGAATTCCATTGAAGAGCAAGAAGATACAAGCAGCTGCAAGCTGTGGGACAATCCACCTGTGTTGTGAGTATGCAAAGGAGGGAGGATGATGGAATTGGTCAAGTCAGAACTCATCTCCTATGTCTAGAAACTGAGTAGTGGTGAGGTTCCCACAGGTCCCGCCTCAAGAACTTGCAGGGGTGCTACACGTGAGCACCCATTTATACAACCTGAACACACAGCCCCTAACCACAGCCCCCACACATCGGTCATCAACAATGTGCCAGTCACACAGAGCACACCCACAATCAGGCAGCCTTAGGTGGAGCAGTGGCATCCACAACCCCTGAGAAGCAAACACTTATTTAACCTTTTCTGTCTCTTCCCTCTCACTAATTCCCCACAGAGAAGGAGCAAAAGACCTCAAGAGGAAGGGAGAAAAGTGTTTGAGAGCCACATCATCCCCCTATACCCTTCTCTAGGGAGAAGAGAGAAGAAAAGCTTTGAGTTGGATGTGAAACTAAACAATTTTAAATAAATCAGACTGAATCTTAAATACTGGAATGAGAAGTTTCAAATAACTACCATGTGTCTGCTGAAGTATAGAATCTGGCCAATAGTATAGATATTAAAGGAGACTGTTATTGGAATAAACCATTTCATTTTTATACCCCAGGAAGTTGAGTCCAGTACATAAAGTAGTTACAGAAACATTTAGGTCCAGGATTATATTTAATTTTTTACTTTCACTGTAAGCTCCTTGAGGGTGGGGGACTACCATGTCATAGAAAATATTAATTGCTAGGAACTTAAACCTACTCAAATTACGTCACAAAGAATGTGTTTATTAGAAGCATAGTGGGCTCACTGAAACAGAAGAGGAGCTGATAAAGCAAGCCTTGGAACAAGGTAACTGAGTACCTCGGCAACTGTGAGTTCAAGTTCATGGACCTTCAAATGAATGCTTCCCCAGTAATGAGAGTCAGCCAACATTTGGCTCAGTCTCTCTATATTTTACTTCAAAATGAGGAGAAAGAAAGGACTTAGTAAACGGAGAGAGGGAGGAAGAGACAGAGGAAGGGAGGAATGACAGTAAGGACTGGGAGAAGGGGAGAAGGTTGAGGCAGGGGTGGAGGTGGGGTGGCTGGGAGGGAAGGAGAAGGGAGAGAGAGGGAGGATGGGAAAGAGGGTAGAGAGAGAGAGAGACTTAGCCAAGTCCGTGGACCTGTTCAGTTGAGGTTAGATGAGGGATTGGTGTGGTTACAAACAGCATGTTCAGGTTGCATAAACATTATTGGATCATTTAATAAATGGAATGTGTTTGCCTTGAAAACTTTAGATTGTATCATGTCAATTCATGATCATCACAGTGCCTCAATATCTAGGGTGTCCGTGTCTCCCAGTTAGCTCAAAGGGCTGTATATTAAATAGGGTTATATACATAAAATCCTATATCCCACTTGTTGTCTCATTGAAAGTTTTGAGATGTTTATCTTGAGCAGCCTCTTCCTCTCCTCTTTTCATGACATTTAAATATCTGGTGAAAATCAGTTTGTTGTTTTGGCATATAATATAAAACATCGAGAGAATAAGAAAACAACCCAAACTTGGTTAGCCATAGAGTCAGGGGTAAGAATGGTAAGGGAAGAGTCCGTCCCATCACATCAGAAAAATGTCAATTTTTCAAACTACCAATCTCCTTGACTCCAGAAATTCTGATGTACACCCAGTGTGATATAATTCCACCTCCCATCTGCCCCCAGTCTCTCCAGAGCACTTCAGAGAGGTACAACAAAATTGAGAACATCTGAGCTGAGTCAGTTATTACCTGTGAACAATTAAGGGAATGCAAGATGATAGAGAACCGTAATTATATCATGAAAGGGACAAATAGACAGGAGATATTAACCAGAGTGGCTTTGAGTCTAGACCTTCTCAACTAAGGAAAATTCCAGACTAGCTTTTACAAGATTGTCCTTACCTGATTATGCTAAAGTTAATGGCTTTGTCTTTAAATGTTCTTTATGGACAATTTCAAGTTCACATTAGTTATTCGTGTTTTTAAATTCATAAAGATTTCTACATAAACCTTGACAGAGATGAGAGGAGAGGAAGCATATGGATGTGTCACAAGGAAGGTTCTGCTATAGAGAAGGCAGATATAAACTTCAGATGTCAGAAGATGACGGAAAAATACTGCACAGTGAACACTTCCTCGTCTGGCACAGGGCCAACTTGTGACTCGTTTAGATTGATAAACAAGCTCTGATTTTTGAGCCTCTCAAAAGTTTCTTACTTTTTCTTTCCCATGCATCAGATTCAAAATTGCATTGTCTTCAGTTTTTCTGTCAAGGGAGCTATGAGAGATTATGAAGGAAAAAATAAAAGAGGTAGAAATAGGTAAAATTAGAAAGTACCATCAAAAAGTCATCATAATGCAGGGCTTACAGTGGAGGAAAGACTCCATAGCTTTCCAGTAAGATCAGGGAGAATTTCGTTAGGATGGAGAAAACACTGTAATGTTAAAAGACAGGAAACTAAATGTTCATCAAAAGCACTATTTATGGGTGGGATTAAATCAGTGCAGATTGAAAATACAAGTGAAAAAGTTGATTAGCATTACATCAGTGCTTTCCTAGAGCATAACCATAGCTGTGTTCCAATAAAACTTTATTTGAAAAAAACAGCTGATAGGCCAGATATAGCCCGTGGGTGTAATGTACCAACCTTTGCGGTAGAGAATTCAGAGGGATATAAGATAAAATGCAGAAGAAGAAGGATGAGAAAAGAGAGCTTGTATTCCTTCCTAGGTACTCTTTTACTGTGTGCAAAAGGCTTTTCCCATGCTTCTCAAACCACCCTATAAAACTTTCATGAATAAGTATATACTCAGAAAAAAAAAAGTCATTGTAATGACGTAAGTGGGCAGCCAAGCCCAGAATTGGGGTTTAGCCCAGGAGGGTTCTTGGCTTTGCCTAAGGAAGAATTCAAGAGTGAGCCAGTGGTGTTAGACAGCAACTTTATTTTTATTTTTTTTATTTATTTTTTATTATACTTTAAGTTCTAGGGTACATGTGCACAACATGCAGGTTTGTTACATATGTATACATGTGCCATGTTGGTGTGCTGCACCCATTAACTCGTCATTTACACTAGGTATATCTCCTAATGCTATCCCTCCCCGCTTCCCCCACCCCACGACAGGCCCCAGTGTGTGATGTTCCCCTTCCTGTGTCCATGTGTTCTCATTGTTCAATTCCCACCTATGAGTGAGAACATGCAGTGTTTGGTTTTCTGTCCTTGCGATAGTTTGCTGAGCATGATGGTTTCCAGCTTCATCCATGTCCCTACAAAGGACATGAACTCATCCTTTTTTATGGCTGCATAGTAGTCCATGGTGTATATCTGCCACATTTTCTTAATCCAGTCTATCATTGATGGACATTTGGGTTGGTTCCAAGTCCTTGCTACTGTGAATAGTGTCGCAATAAACATACGTGTGCGTGTGTCTTTATAGCAGCATGATTTATAATCCTTTAGGTATATGCCCAGTAATGGGATTGCTGGGTCAAATGGTATTTCTAGTTCTAGATCCTTGAGGAATTGGCACACTGTCTTCCACAATGGTTGAACTAGTTTACACTCCCACCAACAGTGTAAAAGTGTTCCTGTTTCTCCACATCCTCTCCAGCACCTGTTGTTTCCTGACTTTTTAATGATCGCCATTCTAACTGGTGTGAGATGGTATCTCATTGTGGTTTTGATTTGCATTTCTCTGATGGCCAGTGATGATGAGCATTTTTTCATGTGTCTGTTGGCTGCCTAAATGTCTTCTTTTGAGAATGTCTGTTCATATCCTTTGCCCACTTTTTGATGGGGTTGTTTTTTCTTGTAAATTTGTTTGAGTTCTCTGTAGATTCTGGATATTAGCCCCTTAGACAGCAGCTTTCATTAAACCAGAGCTGCTCTTTGCAGAGCAGGTCGACTTCATAGCCAGTGCACCGAAAAGTCAGCACTTGTATGCTATTGTCTAGCTGTATTTATATCTACCTTTAATTACATGCAAATTAAGGGACTGGTTATTCAAAAATCTCTAGAAAGGTGGCAGTAACTTCCAGGTTGTTGCCATGGCATTTGTAAACTGTCATGGTGCTACTGGGAATATCTTATGCTTATGAGCAGTGAAGCCAACTGGAGGATGCTTTTGGCATCATTTGCTGGTTATGGCCAACTTCTTCACTTCATCCTCTCTGGACAGGAAAATAAGTCCTGCCAGTCTCCTACCTCAATAAGGCAAATATGGATACATAATACACACACACATATTTATATATAAATCACAGCTGATTGATAACAAAAATAGCTCCTCTAGTTCCTGAAGATGGAGTAAGGCAAGGAAGTGCACCTGCTTCACAGGACACTGCAGTCACTCTGTACTATATGTGTATCCATACATGTATTGTCCTCATGCATGCTGTCACCCCAAAAGCCCGACACCCATCCCCTCCTTCTCTCATGTAACTCAAGCTTGAACACTCAGATTTAGGGAAGTCAAAGGCACTCATTGATGAATTATAAACCAAACTCTCTCTCACCTTTGTTTGACCATTGCACAAATAAAAACATTAGGTAACTCATAAGGAAATGTGATTTTCCTGGAATTAGCACAAAGATGATATAGATATGGGTTTCTCTTATTCTGGAGGTAAGCAGTCTTTTTAGTATTTATTTATTTTTTGGCTAAAGAACTGCTGTGGTGGATAAACTCTCACAGGGAAACCTAATCATGTATAACATGGATCAATAGGGAGCAGACCCTCTGTGTCCCCCCAGAATGCCAAGGCAATTCCTTGGAAACCTTCAGGTCTACTGAGCATATCTAAAATCAAGTTCCCCAAGGAAGTTGAAGCATTTGAAGAAAAAGTCTCTGCCATTGTTCATCTAAAAATACCTGTGTCAGTTCATGTGGAAAATGGTCTAATAGAGCTGTGGAATATCATGATCTAGCCGATGAGGCCTCTCTATGATATTGTCACCACAGTGCATAGTAGAATTAGTGGTATTACATTTTCCTCATCTGTGAAATGGGAATAATAATACATACCTGTGACTTCATAGAGATGACTGAATATCATTCACTAAAATGAATATAAAAGCACATTGCAAACAATGAAATGTTAAATCATCTTTGTTCTTTCTCCTTTCTGCTTTTGACAACAGGAGTCAAAAAGTGGGGCCTACTGATTTAGATGAAATGTAACTTTTATAGAATTAGTAGAAAGTAACCACAGACACATTTTTCTCTTCTTTTCAAATGATTAGGGACACAGTAAAAAAAAAAAGTTCATAAGATGTCTGCAAAAGTCAGTTCAATGTTTTTTCTCTTCTCCTGGAAGTCACCAAAAACCTAATGTAAGATGAAAGCAAAGAAGGTAAAATCTATCTTCAGTAATCTTTGGAAACACATCCAATCAACAGTTGGCAAAATACAGGTGAAAGCCACCTAAACCAGCTGAGATCAGGCGAAAGCTGTGAAGGAGAAAGTGATAATAACCATGAAACTGGCAAGAGGGCTCAACATCAGCACCTTAAGTAAAGCACCGGCAAAAGCACATGTCTTAAAATTAAGGAGCGATGTTAAAGTACAGAAACCGTATTTCTTGCTTGCAAAAACGGGTGTGAGAACTTGGATGAGAAGAGCTGGTCTTAGAAACCATTTGGCATCTGGCTTGATTCAGAAAATGTAGGCAGAGCTACACAAAGAATCATCCAGAGAAACCATGTAAGGAGTTAGCAGTCACAGAGATGTAAAGAGTCTCTGGAATGGGAAACTTCTTTAGTCCAGAGACTGTTCTGGGTCCTCTCCTTTGCCTACCCTCTCATCCCCACCCTACACATGTGTAAATATCTGCTCCAGAGAAATTCATCTCATTCTATAACAAGTAAGAAAAAAAAAAAAGTAGCCCAGAATCAACTCAAAGATATCATAAGAAAAAAAAACCTAGGGGAAGGAGGAGGGAAGCAATATTTATTAACAGAAAAAGAAAATGCATAAAAAGTAACCATGGTACAGAAGAAAATGGTAACAAAATGTTTTTTTCCATAAATTTAAACCAATTGAAGACAGTTTCTAGGAAGGAAGAACAAAAGCAGCAATATGAGAACTCAGATGATGAGACAATAAAAATCAGCAGAGTACAGGAAAGAAATAGGAAAAAAATGTCACTTCAGAAGGGAAGACAAAGCTGAAAGGAATACAAGAGACAACAGGTGCAATCAAACAGTAACAAAATAAGACGTCATTAAAATGAAAATAAAGAAGCTTTAAAAAGTATTAGGAAAGAGTGATAAATAAAAGAGACAAGCAAAGAAGGCTCAACATACACATAATTGCAGCCACTGATGAGAACCAAAATATTGACCAAAACAATAGACTAGGAAAAAAACATTTAAAGGTACAATCTTAAAAAACTGCATGAAATAAAGATGACTTGGGCCTACAGTTTAGATGGCCACATTGTACTGTAAAATTGTCTCAGAACTTTCCATGTTAATACATACCATAAGGCCAGGCACAATGGCTCAGGCCTGTAATCTCAGAACTTTAGGAGGCTGAGGTGGGCAGACTGCTTGAGCTTAGGAGTTCAAGACCAGCTTGAGAAACATGGCGAAACCCCATCTCTACAAAAAACATAAAAATTAGCCAGGTGTGGTAGCTCATGCCTGGAGTCCCAGCTACTCGGGAGGCTGAGGTGGGAGGACTGCTTGAGGCCAGGAGGTCAAGGCTGCAGTGAGCCATGATCATGCCACTGAACTCCTGCCTGGGTAATAGAGCAAGACTCTGTCTCAAAACAAAACAAAACAAAAATGAAACAAAACAAAACAAAAAACAAAAAACTCAAAACAAAAAACCCATAGAATTATTCAACTCTAAGCGCATGCAAAGCGTCACATCACTATAAGGTAGGATGGCTACTTAGTTTAGCATCCAGACTAGGACCCTTTTGAGAGTAAAAGGGACAAGGAAAATGCTAAATACAGTGAGATGCTGAGACAGGCATATGACAAGACTGTCTAGGAAAAACCAGGGCCACTAACCACACTATTTTAAGAGAGAAACACTGGGCTCACATCAGGTTTCTCAACACAAAGATAGTAGAGCAACATTCTAGATTTTCAAACTAAAAAGTCAGAAATGTGATGCCTAGAAAGTTCTTCAAGTATATAAGACAAAGAACATGAAACATACCAGAACTGAAAGGATACTCACTTGAATAAAATATTAGAGGATGTCTTCGCAAAGCAAGGGACGATGACAGAAATTATGGTGAAAGTACTGTTGGTACAAACGGAAAATACTTAACTGATGAGCAGATCAACAGATGTGGAGATTGGGGTGAGAGGAAGGAAAGGAAATGTTGTTTGCTCTGCTAATGCAGAGGTACCACAAATGCTAAAAATTGGGAAAGGAGAAAAAAGTGAAGGTAGAGTTACTGATTCTATCATCTACGATCGCAAGGAGTTAAAGGATATCATTTAAAGACAAGAAGTGTGGTAATAAAAGTTCTTTTTCTTTAAATAAAAGTATTTAAGAGTACAAAACTGAACACTAAAAAGTACTTCTGACAAAAACAGAATGGTGGAAGAGAGAAGGGAGGGAGAGTAACATGAAATTTAGTGATCCAATCAATGGTTTAGGAGACTAAAGGTATTATATAATAATATAAAAAAGGAAGTTTTAATACCAATTAAAATCCTTGTACATAAAAGGAATTCAACTTCAACAAAGCAAAGCAAAACATAATGAAACTCTTTTAAAACACTATTAAAGAACTCTTCAAAATGGGTAAGAAAAAACTAGCAACCCCATAGAATGAACACAGGTCGTGAATGGAGTTCACAGAAAAATAAATTCCTTCCTTTATAGTAAGAGAAACACAAATGACAACTATCCCAAGATACTATTTTCACCTACCATGAGGACAGAAATCTAAAAGTTTCATAATCTATTCTGTGGGTGAGGTTTCGGGGAGAGGCTATTTAAAATAGACTTTATTTTTTAAGAGCAGTTTTAGGTTCACAGCAAAACTAAACAGCAAGTATACAGATTTGCCATCTAACTCTGTCCCCACACATGCATGGCCTCCCCCATGACCAACATCCCACATCAGGGTGGTCCATTTGTTACAATCCATGAGCTGACATTGACACATTATTATCACACAATGGTGAGAGTTTACATTAGGATAAACTCCTGGTGTGTACATTCTATGGATTTGGACACATGTATAATGACATGTATCTACCATTAAAGTATTATACACAGCAGCTTCATAGCCCTAAAATCCTCTGTGCTGTGCCTATTCCTACCTCCCTAACCCCTGGCAACTGCTGATCTTTTTCCTATCTCCACAGTTCTGCCTTTTCCAGAATGTCACATAGTTAGAATCATACAGCAGATAGCCTTTTCAGACTGACTTCTTTCACTGAGCAATATGTATTAAGTTTGTTCCATGGTTTTTAATAGCTTGATAGCTCAGTTCTTTTGGGGAGACACTTTTTTAATGGAGTATGGCCGCAACACTTATAAAGCATAATTTTGGACACCTACCGCATTTACAAATGCATCAACCATTTGATCTAGCTTTAGTGGTGAGCTTACACTGGGGAGGGCAATGTGTAGGTTATGTCCTCTAAGTACTGGGGAGATATGGAGAGTTATCAGTATGCAAGTGATATAATTAAATTAGCATTTTGGAAGAGCCAAGTGGTAACAACATGTAGGCTGTTTTGGATCAAGGAGAAATAAAGTCAGAGTAACTTGATTAGAAGACTGTCTTAGGCATAAGATGATGAAGGTAAGAACTAAAAGGGTGATGATGGGCGCTAAAAAGAGATGGTTAATAATTTTGAAAATTCCCAAGAGGCCTGGCATAGTGGCTCACACCTGTAATCCCAGCACTTTGGAAAGCTGAGGCAAGAGGATCGCTTGAGCCCAGAAGTTCAAGACCAGCCTGGGTAACATGGCAAAACCCTGTCTCTACAAAAAATACAAAACAATTAGCTGGGTGTGCTGGTACATGCCTGTAATTCTAGCTACTCAGGAGGCTGAGGTAGGAGGATTGCTTGAGCCTAGGAGGTCGAGGCTACAGTGAGCCATGATCCCGCCACTGCACTACAGCCTGGGTGACAGAGTGAGAACATGTTTCAAAACAAACAAAATAATCTAAAAACATTTGTGCATCTCTTAATAAGGATTTATTTATTCATTCACTCATTTAACTAAAATTTATTTAACTCTAACATGTGCCAGCCTTTAAAATTGATATTTACACATTGGGTTTGGCATAAAGCAAAAAAAAGCAAGGGTAACTATGTTACAACATGTTGGAGATAAGAGTCTAAAGCTCAGATGAGGGCTTGTGCTTAAGATAGGCTAATGTTCGAAAATCACCCTCAAGGAGATAATGGTTAGAGCAAGGAAGCAGGAGTGGTTCACTCTTTTGTACACTTAAGGAGAAGATCAGAGGCAGAGAGTATCTAAGAACTGGATGTGTTTAAAATTATGGGGTAGCAGAAGTAATAGAACTCAACAAAACAGATACAAACGGTAAGAGACTCAGTCATGTGCATAGCCAGGGAAATGTAGAGAACATCCAAGAATGAGAAGATGATCAACAATATCCAAGTTCATAGAGAAGTCTCCAAGAAGAGGTCACTGAATTTGACATGAAATGTTTCCTTAGTGATTTTAGAGTACAGAAGCAGAATTTCAAAGACCTAGCAAGTAACAGATGTTGAGAAAACGTAGGTAGTGGATAGGAATTATGAATTTGAGAGCTAAAAGTAAGGCAAACCATAAGGAGGTTACCAGAGGAGGAAGGAACTTCAAAATATTTTTAAGGTAAGTGGGAAACTGCATGTATAAAGACACTGTGAAAGGTATCAGTGAAAAAGCATATATTTAAGAATCAAGAGAGGGCAAGATATAATCATGGCACTAAGCTCTGGGAGACCAAGTGCGTTTTGATCAAAAATTATGAGAAAAATTATATACCATCCTCCTAGGGATGGAACTAGCCCTGGAAATAATAAGATAGAAGAAAAATATCAATTCTAAATCATTGGATCAAGGCCTACTTATTTGAGAGATTCAGATGAAATCAGAAACAAAGTTGTAAAACAGAATACTGTTACTATAAGTTTTGTCCTCTGTGTCCCTAAAGATTCTGGAACATAAAGATATTTAAACTCAAAGGGTACAAAGTCATGTAGCTCTACTTAAAATCATGGAGAAGCATCCTACCAAACCAATACCTCCTCTAATGTAGATGCAATTGAACCAGGTAATGTTGTGGATTTCAGTGATAAGAAAGTGGCAAATATATCCAATATTCACTATACAGTGATAAAATGTTAAGAGCTATGCCTACATAGAATGACAGAGCAATTCCATCATGCAGTGAAGCATAAATACTGTGCTATCTAATTCTCTTGGTTGGAAAATCAGCATTCTCTATTTGTTTCTCTTTCCTTGTATACTATGGGTGAAGCACATTAAGAAGCATCTATGGATATGGTAGACAAATTATGCATATGTCTACTAGATATTCAACAACTTTTATTTCCAAAGCAGCAGTATATCCAGTGTCATCATGACTCTCCTTATTAATAATACGTCACGAAGTGCCATCAATCCATTAGCGATGAGAACCTGGGCATCTAGAAAATTTCAGTGTGATGTTTATATTTTACATTCCAAAGTCGACAAGGAAAAATAATCGAAAACTTCATCTCTACTATTTCTTATTCTTCTACCCTTGTGCTGGGAAAAATGACCCCAAGCCTGAATTACTATCATAACAAAGGGATTAGCTTGGCCAGTGAAGACTTCATGTGAACAGAAGGCCCTTCTGGCAGGGTGGTAGTGGACTGCCACCTACATAAATTTGCCACATATGTCCAATAATGTCACATAACGTCAGATGCCATTAGTTTCTTTTACAAGAGTCACAAATGTGAATCTCTATTTTTAAACGGATACAATTTTTTTTAGCCATTAAGTCTAGATATTAAGATTTTTGTTTATGTACTTGTGCTTTATTAATGAAAGCTTTCTAACTAATTTCAGACTCCAAATCAACTGATTTTGTAGGATTGTAGTCTACCTATAGTTGTAGATTTAGAGTTTGCTGAGTTATAAAGTATGTCATTTTAATCACTAATGGATAATTTCAATAAGCATTAAATATCAATTTTACTAGAAGTATGTCATTATACTGTGAGTGGCAACCTTCACATCTGAAATAAAACTAAAATCAGATATTATAAATTATCTTAACCAAAGTCGAGACTACATGGAGAATTTTACTTATTAATCATCTGCTATGCCTATTTCAAACTTATATACATATACAAACTTTCTTCGAGATTCATTCTTATATATTTATATGTCTTCCATATTTTTAAGTAAAACTTGCCTATTTCTACTTTGATATAAACACCGTGACATATACCCATCTAGTATGAAGGATGGTGTATTAAATCTATTAAGGACAGTTATGGTGGTTTATTCATTTTTTTTAAAACTTGATCTAGTCTTTCATGATCATCAGCTGGTATTATTTACTCCTGCTATGAGAGAGATATCCTGCTAGGTAGTTGAGCTACATTGAAGCATAAGACCAAGTCCTTTCCAAGCATTTTCAAAATACGTGGGGAAACAAACTTAAACTACAAAGTACTTTAATTGATAGAAGGGATATACATAAAGCCCCCTGAAGGAGGTAAATGAAGAACAGAGCCATTTAAACGTGTGAAGATGGAACAGCATGAATGAATTAATTTGTTCACACTCCAATTATCACACGCCATTGTATGCCAAACTAATTAATTCAGTATCAGTAACAATATGCAAACAACGAAACACAAAGGAACATCATCCCTTATAAAGTAGGATCTTTTCAACATGATTCTTAAGAAACATTACACTTACTAAGTGCCTGACACTGTACACATGCTAATCTCATCCGTTCACTTCGCCAGGTAAACCTGAGGAGTGAACTCAGAAGGTCAACAACTTCCTGAAGGTCATTCAGCTAGTGAGCCCAAGTCCAAATCCAGCTGTGTGACATCAAAGCTAATGTTTCTTCCATTGTATGTCTCTGTCTCCTTTAAAACATAAATCACATAGGGCCCCTTTTCATCAAGGCTTATTTCTTCACTGAACAGACCCAGCCTGGGTCAGATCAATGTCTTTTGGATGTTACTAATTACATTTAGTAAAGGTTGACATAAATCACGACACTTTGAAACAGCTTATAAAACTTTCCATCTCCAGGCCGGGCGCGGTGACTCATGCGTGTAATCCCAGCGCTTTGGAAGACCGAGGCGGGCGGATCATGAGGTCAAGAGATCGAGACCATCCTGGTCAACATGGTGAAACCCCATCTCCACTAAAAATACAAACATTAGCTGGGCGTGGTGCCACCCGCTTGTAATCCCAGCTACTCCGGAGGCTGAGGCAGGAGAATCGCTTGAACCCAGGAGGTGGAGGTTGCAGTGAGCTGAGATCGTGCCACTGCACTCCAGCCTGGATGACAGAGCAAGACTCCATCTCAAAACAAACACAAACAAACAACAAAAAAAAAACTTTCCATCTCCAATACTATCACAGGCATTTTATGGAGTCCTCGGTACATGCACTTTCCTACCTCTCTTCCCTCGAATCAGTCCAGCTTAGTTACACAATGCTCACCACTCAAATTAACCAATGCTCACCACTTAAATTAACCAAATAAACCAGGAAGCCTCTCACTATGCTCCTAGATGGGCCAAATGTTTCTTCTTAAACACCCAGGGGTTTTCCTTGGACTTCTCCTTTCTAGTCCGGCACATAAGAAGCTGGAGTTTGGTCGCCCCATCCTAACGACAAGTAAAAAGCTGAACGAACTGAAAAACCAATAACTCTTCTTAGATCCATAAAAAGTGAGGTCAAAGGGTAACCAGTGACCCCCAAACTTAAGAGACCAACGGACAAATACAGAGAATCACAACTTACCAGAGCCCAAACGGCCCAGGAAGCAGTACTGGGAGGGGGACAGCTGAGCTGTAACTGACCAATTCCTGGAGGATCCGAGTGGAGGAGTCTCAGAGGTGAAAACTCCAGGGATATCCAGTCATTGGGAGGGCCCCACACTTTTGGGAGTTTTATGTCCTGGATCTCTACCAGGTCTTTACTGTGGATACTGTAGAAACATCCCCTCACTCTCCAGCAGCAGCAGCAAGAGAAAGCCAGCCATTTTGAAATGCACCAGAGCATTCTGTGCTCTTAAGGAGGTCGGCCCTCAGGTGAAACTATTTAACCAGAACCTAACCTGCTAGTTTTATCAGAGACGAAGTGACCTGGGGAAGGGAGTGCACAGGGATACCTTGTTTGAATGTGCTTGACTTTATTACACTTTGCAAATATTGTGGTTTTGACAAATTGAAGGTTTCGGGCAACTCTTCATCAGCCAAATCTGTTGGTGCCAGTGTTCCAACAGCACATGCTGACTTTGTCACATTCTGTTAATTCTCGCAATATTTCCCACGGTTTCATCATTATTATAGCTGTTTAAATGAATCGATGATGAACAAATGAAGGAATGAAAGGAAGAGGAGAAGTCAATAAAATGTCTGAGAGTAAAAAAGGACAAAGACAGAATAGTTGGAGGTGAAGCAGAAAAGTGCAGTGTTGTTGGACCAACGGAGGAGAGAATTTCAGGACAGGGGATTTTTTTTTCTCGATGTATGAAATGCTCATGTGATATCATTTTTACCAAATTAGCCATCATAGGCACACATACCAGATTAATTTCTCCTAAGCTTTAGTTTTAAAATCCTGTCATTATCTTTCTCAAAAAATCCCAAACATTTTCAAGAAAGGTAACATTTAAACTCATCTTTGTGACAATTAAAATCCTCTGTAATTTGGCACTAACTTGTGTTCCCAGCCTTACTGCTCATTGGCTGGAACCCTTCCTTCTATTCATGTTCCTCTTCTCACTCTTTCCTGAACGAGTCAAGTTTCTACATGATTCCCAAGACTTTGTCCTTCCTCCTTTCCTCTGCCTTTGAAAATTTACTTTTCATAACTCCACTAAAGTCCCATTTCATTCACGACAGCCTCTTGACTGTTGTAGCATGCACTTGTGTGTCCTTACACTGAGTTCACTCTTGCCTAGGCTGTGCTCATGATGTCAGACTTTTGAACATTTGTAAAAGCAAAGAACAACTGTGGATTTATCTTTTTTTAATTATCATTATACTTCAAGTTTTAGGGTACATGTGCACAATGTGCAGGTTAGTTACATATGTATACATGTGCCATGCTGGTGCGCTGCACCCACTAACTCGTCATCTAGCATTAGGTATATCTCCCAATGCTATCCCTCCCCCCTCCCCCCACCCCACAACAGTCCCCAGAGTGTGATGTTCCCCTTAACTATGGATTTATCTTAACAATAAAGAAGAGCCAGAGCTTCTTTCCCTGGGTTCTACAGCAATGTGTCAACTCACAGCTGTTCATCTGACTTTGAAGTTCCTCCCCCAGTGTCCAAACTATAGTGACACTAGAAACAAACAAATAAAAATGATAGCTGAATGGGGACTGATTTATCCAAAGTGTCTTGTTCTATTTATACCAGTTGCTGTGGAGGCTAAGAAAGTGTGCTACCTTTTTTCGTTTGTTTGTTTTAATCTTTCTATTGACTTACCAGTGTAGAGTCAGACTTGATCCATGATAAGAGAATATCGATAAAGGTGTCTAGATGGTAATGCCACAGAAGCTGATTTGGTGACAGTTGAAATTTTCTCCCATTCTCACCCAAGAGGCCCCTTAGAACTATATTGTATTAGTCTGTTTTGCATTGCTATCAGGAATATCTAAGACTGGGTAATTTACAAAGAAAACAGGTTTATTTTGGCTCATGGTTTTGCAGGCTGTCCAGGAAGCATGGCAGTGGCATCTGTTCCTGGTGAGGCCTCAAGAAGCTTCCAGTCATGGTGGAAGGCACAGGGAGAGCTGGTGTCTCACATGGAGAGAGAGGGAGCTAGAAAGAGAGAGAGGGGAGAGGCGCCACACTCTTTTAAAGAGACAGATCGTGCATGAACTCAGAATGAGAACACACTTGTTATCATGAGGATAGCAACAAGACATTCGTGAAGGATTCACCTCCATGACCCAACACCTCCTACTAGGCCTGACCCCCAATTTTGGAGGTCACATTTTAACATGAGTTTTAGAGGGGACACAACATCCAAACCATATCAAACATCTATTTATTTTTTCAAATCTACTCATTAAGTTTTCTGGGAAATCCATTCCAATCTGCATGATAATAATGATATTCAGCGTTACCATCCTTGGGTGTTCCAGCCAGATCTTTTGTTGCTCTTACCATACTAAATCATAACTATTTAATTATTGTCTGCCTTACATGACATTTTAATGGAGGAGGACATTTAAAACTATGACTCCTCATGCTCAGCATGGAACTTAAATACTTGGTGTTTTGTACATGTTTGCTACATGAATAAATGAATAAAAATGTATGAATATGATTGCTAGAGCTTCCATAATTATTGCAGCAATTGCTCTCGTAGTATAAGCTGCTTAGTTTCTGAAGGTACCATACTTTGCTTTTAAGTCTCTGGAGGAATTTTAGTCTGCTCAGAAAGTTTAAAAAAAGGAAAAGAAACAGAGAGGAAAGACATTAGCAGTCAGAAGCTGAGGGTGACGTTCAACACTAGTGTTAAAGTTAATAGGAGAAATTGCTGGCAATAGGCGAGCAGAAAATAGACCTTTTTAATGGCCACCTCCTAGATTCCCATTGAAACAACTAACTAAATAGAACAGAATATATATAGACAGCTAACTTGAAAATATTTCTTATAAGAAAGAGCAGAATCCCAAGAAAGTGAGAAGATATTGGCAAAACTCAACTAACAACTCATTAGTCAGATAGGTGGCAGAGGAGGGAAGCAAAGGTGCATCTGTTGGGGACTCTCTGCAAACATTATGTGGATTAGCACGCTGTGAAGCCAGCTACCACTGTGGCTGATTCAGGGGTTTGTGTTTGCAAGAATGAGCTATAATAAACTGAATGACAGCATTGTGTGGGAGAGGGACACTGGGCTTGCCAGGTACTGCTGCAGCTCATACCTGGCACTGAATTTGCCAAACAGAAATTGATTATCCTGAGAGCTGGAACCCAGCATGGCAGTTCACTAAATACAGAGAATAAATAACATGGAGACTCAGATCTTTGCTGGGACTGTGCAGGGTTTCAGCTTCCGCTCCACTTCTGCAGGCTGCTTACATTGTGAATCGAGAATGATAATTTACAGCAGATTTATGTTTCCCTTTCCCTCTTGTCTAAATATGAAAAAATTGGGCACAATTCCACATCTGTCTTTGACAGGCTCCATTTCAATGCTGAATTCAGCTATAAGCCAATGGAGCTCTTGCTGCAAGGATAAGCAAGCAGAAGTCTTATATACTAGACCCGGAGGAAAATAATCCAGACTCAAATAACAGGGAGGAGACCACAAAGAATCAGAGCAGACACCTGCACCTGAAATTGACAGGGGGAAATGCCCTGATTCATGGTATCTCTGTGATTCAAGCAAATATAGCACCCAAAACAAGAGAAAAAACTGAGGTCAAGAGATACTGCATGGAGTTAAAAATGTAGAACAAAAATCAGATTGAGGGCAGTGTACCTGAGCTTGGACACTGCAGAAAAAACAAACTTGTAGAGCAAAAGACAAAACTTTAAAATTCTTCAATAATTGAGGAGAAAAGAGTGAGGAATAATGAAAGACATGGAGTATAGGTCCAGGAGATTTTAGTGGTTTGTGAGCTGTGCTACAGATGCACCTACAGCACTACTACCAACATCCCCATCACATACACACACACGCAAACACACACGTGATTTTCATTAATATTTGCATGCACAGGGTGATGAATTCATCTTTTTCCTTTGTCCAGAGTCACGATCTCTGTCCTCATCTCACAGAAATAATGTGGAGATGTCATGGAAGACAATAAAGAACTGGGATTTATTCTCCCTAGATTCCTATTATTGAGAAGATATTGTATATGATCCCAACTCTGAGAAGCCTTTTTATTTCAGCAGTAAAATGGCAATTGCGTTTGTAAAAGCAGCAACTTTTCTTAACATACAACATCTTTGATTTATCTCTTATTTCCTGGCAGCTTGCTTTTCGGGTGAACTTGTAGCATATGCTCTGACTGGCCATTGAGGAAGTATCCATAGACATCCTAAAGTAGCAGACTTCACACTTCCAGTTGTATAGGAGTTATAAAATTGACTCTCACAAAGAAATTCTCTCAACTTTTTTTTCATCGTATTAAAGAAGGTGAGATTGGGAGTAATATGTTTGCCATTAATAAAAATTTGGAACATGTCATGTCTTTCAGTGGCGGGCTTTGATAAGATTGTATGATATCATTTGCACCATGGCTATAGAAGACCCTGATCCTCTGAGCAGATAGAAAACATGTACCAAGGGAGTCTAGAAAAATCCTCACAAAACCACTAGACTTATAGCAAGAGAGAGAAAAGCTTCGCAATCTGTATGATCAAAGGTCTGCCTCCTGGTCCCAGTGGGATAGCTGTATACAGCAACCACTGCAACTTACAAAACGTGATTGGAGATCAGTGCAGAGAGACCAGAAGAAGTAACCACTTGCATATTTATTAAACACAAACTTTGCTGACCAGGGAAAAGATTCAAAGTCCTGAACCAAAAATGTTAACTAAGTAGCAAAAAATATAAAAGAAAACTATATGTAATCTTATCTGTTGATAATAGTGCAGCCTGAATTCAGAAAGTTTCTACATGCATTAGGTAGATAAAACATGTCATCCTAAGACAATAATCAGGTGAGTATCAGAAAATAATGGAAAAGTATGGTCAGAGAATTGAGAGAAAATGTGAAGCCCAAGAATCTTACACAGACATATGGAATATATAATAAAGGAAACGGAAAGGTATTTTTGGATATTTAAAAACTAAGAAACTAAACAATTCTTATATCTTTCCTAAAAATATTACTCAAATCTTACTTTCTAGTAGACGAGGAATGAGTCAAAGAGAAATATTTTTACAAGAGGGAAGTTGTGAAACCATGTCAGTAAGCATCAAAATCAGATAAACATAGATTTAAGCTTAAAAATATATGTGGTAAAGTAAATACAGCTAAAAATTAATATTTTTAGAGGAGAAAAATACAATATATTAAAAAATCCCAGTAGGCTTCTACTTCCAGGAAGATGCAGTAGGTGTAATTTTTCCTATTTATTCTATTATGTGCAGCTAAAATCGTGGACATTTAACATAAATCAAATATAAGCCAGATGTGCTGGCTCACGCCTCTAATCCCAACACTTTGCAAGGCCGAGATGGGTGGATCACTTGAGTCCAAGAGTTTAAGACCAGCCTCGGAAACATGGTGAAACCCGATCTCTACTAAAAATACAAAAATTTAGCCAGGCATAGTGGTGCACATCTGTGGTCTTAGCTACTTGGGAGGTAGAGGTGGGGGGATGGCTTGAGCCTACGAGGCGGAGGTTGCAGTTAGCTGAGATCGAGATAATGCCACTGCACTCCAGCCTGGGTGACAGAGCGAGACTCTGTCTTGAAAAACAAAACAAACAACAACAACAACAACAACAACAACAACAAATAGAAGAAGACTCTGTAAGGCAGAGAGAAGACAGACTGGCTAGGGAACTTAAAACCCAGAAACAATAAGGCGATAGGATCCCTGGGCTTGTCTGACTCATATATCCCAGAACCTGGGGACCTAGGAATGCCCACAGGTGTGGGCAAAGAAAAAGCCCAATGACCTCTTATCTTCTCCAGCCAAAGGACCAGAGGCAGCCTAGTAAAACAGAAAATGCGTCAACGACAACTGCTCTAATCTAGACAAACACCACGGAAAAACCCATGGCCCTACCACAACCCACGCTGGCAAAGACTTACCCGGAAGCCTAGACTTCCACCCTTGCTAGAATGTAATGAGGCACCCAAGCCCCCTTGCTGGGTGGTATCAGAGTAGGCTTCTGGAGAGTTAGGTCTTTTACCATGACCCACATGTGCCAAGGACATCTCTCCTCCCGTGGCATGAGTGAAAGCCTTTTGAGGGGGAGTAGCCAGGCACTCCTACTTCTCCCAGCCAAGGTGGCATCAGTGAGGCCTGGTGAGGAGCCCAGCAACAGCACAGAGCCCCTTCCTTGTCACAGTTTAGCAGAGACCAAGAGAAAAACCTGGACTTCTCTCATTTTGCAGTAATCAGGCCACTGCCCCTTTTTCATTCTCCCAGGTCTTTACCTATGAGAGCTATGTCAGAGACATAGCTATGACAGCTAAAACAAAAGGTTTAAATAAGACACAGAGTGTTGTAACATATTACCCAAGATGTCTAGTTTTCAGTTAAAAAAACAGATAAATCTCTACTAAAATGAAAAAAAGTCAATAGACACCAACATCAACATGACAGATGTTAAAATTATCTAACATCTGTCTAAAGATATTTTAAAGCAGCCATCATAAAAATGCTTCAAGGCTGGTTGAAGTGCCAAATGCCTGTAATCCCAGCAATTCGGGAGGATGAGGCGGGCAGATCACTTGAGCCCAGGAGTTCGAGACCAGCCTGGGCAACATGGTGAAATTCCATCTCTGCAAAAAAAAAATATAAAAATTAGCCAGGCATTGTGGCATGTGCCTGTAGTCCCAGCTACTCAGGATGAAGTGGGAGGATCACTTAGAAGAAGGTTGAGGCTACAGTAAGCTGTGGGCATGCCACTGCACTCCAGCCTGGGCGACAGAGCAAGACCCTGTCTCAAAAAAAAATAGTTGCAATGTGCAATTATCAACATGCTTGGAAAAAATGAAAAGTAGGAAGGCTCAGCAAAGAAACTGAAGAGAGGCCAGGCATAGTGGTTCATGTACTTTGGGAGGCTGGGGTAGAAGGATCAGTTTAACCCAAGAGTTCGAGACCAGATTGTGCAACATGGACCACATCTCTACAAAAAAAAAAAAAAAAAAAGAAATTAGCCAAGCATGTTGGCACATGCCTGTGGTCCCAGCTACTTGGAGGATGAGGTAAGAAGATCACTTGAGCCTGGGAGGTTGAGGCTGTAGCGAGCTGAAATCACGCCACTGCACTCCAGTCTGGGCAATAGAGTGAGACCCTGTCTCAAAAACAACACAAAAAACACAAAGAAATTGAAGAGATAAAGAAGAACCCAATGGAGATTTTAGAACTGAAAAATATAATAATTGAAATAAAAAACACAATGGATGGCTCAAGAGCAGAGTGAAGAGGGCAGAGGAAAGAATTGGTGAACTTGAAGTTAGAACGACAAATTACAGCAAATTTGAACATCACAGGGAAAATAGACTGAAAAAATAATGAACAGAACCTCAGGGATCTGTGGTATTCTACAGAAAGATCAAACATTCCTGTCATCAGAGCCTTTGGAAAGAGAAAAGAAAGAAAACAGGACTAAATGGCTTACCTTTCAAATTTGGTAAATGGTTCCAAACAGGATAAACCTAAAGGAATGAAAGAAACCACCAAGACACCAAGACACATTATAGTCAAACTTCTGAAAATAAAAAGAAGCGAAAAATCTTGAAAGCAGAAAGCAGCAAGAGAGAAATGACACAGGATCTATAGGGGGAAAATAGTTTGAATAATAGTGGACTTCTCATTAGAAACCATGAAGGCCAGAAGCAAGTGATACAAATGAAAGTGCTAAATGGAAAGAGCAATCAATCCACAATCCGATATTCAGTGAAAGCAACCTTCACCAATGAAGGGGACCTTAAGAATTCTCACGAGAAAGAAAAGTAAGGGAAACTGTAGCCAAGAGAACTACCCTAAAGTAATAGCTAAATTGAGTTTTCCAAACAAAAAGGAAATGATAAATGAAGGACCATGAAACATCAGGAAATAAAAAAGAATAACGGAAAGAGTAAAATGTAATCATGCATCTTTTAATGACAGGGATATGTTCTGGGAAATGTGTCATTAGGCAAATTGGCCATTGCATGAGCATCATAGACTATACTTACACAAACCCAGTGGACTAGCCTACTACACGTCTGGGCTGTATGGTATAGCCTATTGCTCCTAGGCTACAAACATGTATAGCATGTCATTGTACTGGATACTGTAGGCAACTGTAACACAGTGAAAAAAATTCATTTATCACAACCTAGAAAAGATACAGTAAAAATATGGTATTATATTCTTACGGGACCATCATATATGCATTCCGTCACTGAGCAAAACATCATCTTGCAGCACATGACTGTATAATACATTTTCCTTGTCTTGGGTTTTCTAGAGTATATTTGAGTGTTGAAGTAAAAACTATAATAATGTCTTAAGTGCTTCTAAATCTACACGAAAGGAACATTTAAACCATTTATAAATAGGAGGTAATATTCTACGCTGTGGTCAAACTAGTAAAACGTTAACACCAGTAGATTGTGTAGTAGTTTCTTCTGCAGACTAATTTGTGCCCCCAAGAGTCTGACCTACGTGGATTATCCAAATGGACTCACTTCCTCTCTGGATTCTGGTTGACTTCAATCAACAGGGAGCACCAGCAGAATGCTGAAAATAGGAGAAAAACGGAGTGTGAGATCCAGGTATTTATTTTTCTGTTTTCCTCCCTGTGAGTAGACCAACAGCTTGCTACATCTTCTTATCCGAAATGTCTCAGAGTCATTAGCTCAGTCAGCTGCATCTGTTTGGCAGAGAGGAAGAGAGGGTGAAGTTCATGTAGAGAAAGTTATAAAAGCCTTTACAAACATGATAAAAACATACAAGGCCAATTTTGGAACTGGCGCAACACCCGGTTGTAAGGGATGCTGGGAAACAGTCTAAGCTATGACATCATTGCAATTTTTAGTCTGATGTAAAATATGTGTTCCTTAATTCAAATTTATTTTGTATGCCTCAATAAAGTTTTGTACTCCACACACTCCCTCCTTTGGAACCCGCAGGAAGACTAGATGGCACAAATTCTAGACTGCATGTGGGAACACACACCCCAGTCCCATCCCCTAATGACAATAAAAACCCAAGCCATTTTCAGATTAAACAGAGTGTCCACCCTGCTTTTCCTAGAAAGCTTCAATATGTAATAAATTACTTCATTATGTCTTGGTGTATGTGTGGCACCTCAGTCTCGGCCTCTCAACAACTTTTGGGTGGAGGATGGTGGGTCCTGTCCTCCATAGGGCAATCAGAAGACAGTCCATTTTCATATTACATTATTTACATTTTGTGTCATTAGGCACATGATTTGTAAGAATTCTTCATATATATTTTTTGCCACCCAAATTTGTGGATGGTCTTTTACATTGTCAATATCAAATTTGGAGTTATGGTTATTCTAGCTTCAGGAAATGAACTGAGCGTTCTACTTTTTTCTATACCCTGGAATAGTCTGTTTACAATGGAAACTATTTATTTATTGAAGTTTGGTAGAACTCGAAGTGGAGATATTTGAGCCTGAACTTTTCCTTTGTGGAAAAATGTTTGATGATGGTCTCACCTTTTAAAATTCCTTCAGACTACTTATATTAAAATTGTGTATTTTAGTAAATTTATTCCAAGTAAGTTTTCATGTTTTTTGCATAAAATTGTCCATAATATCCAATTATTACCTTTTAAAATGTCTGCAGACTTACAATTTGATAGATTTGGGAGGAAAAAAAGTCTGCAGAATCCATAGTTATGTTTTCCTTTTTATTATTGTTATTGTTAATCTTTGCCTTATTTTTTCTTAAAAAACCTTACCAGGATTATGCAAATTTTGTTAGCCCTTTCAATGAACAACTTTATCTTTGTTAACCTTTCCTATTTTCCCTCTAGCCTCTATATCTTTTACCTTCTCTTTTATGTTTTTCATCTCTTTGTGTCTCTGCACTGAATTCTGGATAATTTCTTCAAATATAACTTCCAACTTTCTATTTTTCTCTTTTGCTGTGTTTAATCTGTTGTTAAATCATCCATATAATTTTAAATTTCAATTATTACATTTTTTCACTTCTATTTGGTTCTGTTTTAAATTCTGCTTGGACATTCCTTATAATTTCTTTTCAAGCTTGTATTGCATAAATATACTTAATTTTTTTTCATGGTCTCAATTTGATATTACAGTATCCAAAGTACTTCCAGATTTATTCTTGCTGTCTCTGATTTCTACCATTTCTCTTCTGTGGAGGTGTTTCCATATGTGTTTGGCTATTTTTTTTTTACTGTAATCTCAATTTTTTTGGAACTTTCTTTTAAAGAATTATTTTAGGATGAGATCAGGATTATAATTAAGAATATTTAACAATTCCTATGGTATGGGCACTATAAAATCAAAACAGATGCTATGCAGAGTTGTGTAACTGACATTGGAGACTCAGAAGAGGAAGGCTGGGAGGAGGGTGAGGATGGAAAAGTTACCTATTGGGTACAAGTAACACTATTTGGGTGACAGGTACACTAAAAGCCCAGACTTTACCACTATACAATTCATCCATGTAACAAAACCATTTGTATGCCTAAATTATTGAAATTTAGAAGTAAAAATTAAAGTAATTGACTAAATTGATTAAAAAATGAGACCTGAATACAAGCTAAATAACATGAGATAGAAATTACAAAACCATTCTGTGAAATTTTACAATTTAACTTGCATAACCTTAAATATATTTAAATATATGTCATGATTTCAGCACTTAATATTTAAAATACTTGTTCACAATCACTTTGGTTTCCAGGAAAAAAAATGTTTCTATTTGAATGTTTCTCTACATTAAACAAACTTTAGAGGTACTTAATACACGTCTATTAAATAAACTGATGAATTTGGGGAAAAAAAGATGCTAGTTTCAACAGGTTTATATTTAAAATGTTTAACAACTGGTATAGCATGAATATTAAGCAATTTAAAGAGATACTGGCTCAATCAGAATCAACACCAGTTGTAAAAAGCTCATGTGAATGTACTGGTGTGTTCTGGATAAGCAACAGCATTTGCTGCAATGAAGGTAAATTCAGCTAGAGAGCATTTGCATTTGATTTTTCTGGGCATCTGGGGACACTTACTGTCCAGGATCACTTTAAATTACATTTTTCCTTGAGATGTTTTGGAATCTAAACTCATGTGAATTTCATTTGTAAACTCTCCTAACGGCTACCTTTGGGGGCTAGACCCCACTTCCCTAAGCTCTGCTTAGCACATGGTTTAAAATAAGTTTCTTCTTTTTGAAAATTTTTGCAGAGAATAGGTTTATTTCTGCTTTTCTTTTACAAGGGGACTCTTTGGGGACTTTCCTACAGTAAAGGAGGAAAGTCTCCTAGTAGACTTAGTGTGCTGGGTGGTTCTTAGGATTTGCAGGGAATAGGTTTATTTCTGGTTTTCTCTTATAAGGGGACACTTTGGTGTTCCAGCTTTAAAGGCGAAAAATCGGCCAGGCACAGTGGCTTACGCTTGTAATCTCAACACTCTGGGAGGCCGAGGCGGGTGGATCATGAGGTTAGGAGATCGAGACCAGGCTGGCCAACATGGTGAAGCCCCATCTCTACTAAAAATACAAAAATTAACCAGGCATGTAATTAGCCCACACCTGTAATCCCAGCTACTCGGGAGGCTGAGGCAGGAGGATCGCTTGAACCTGGGAGGCAGAGGTTGCAGTGAGCCAAGATCGCGCCACTGCACTCCAGCCTGGGTGACAGAGCAAGACTCCATCTCAAAAGAAGAAGAAGGAAAAAAAAGGATAAAAATCTAGCAGACATAGTGCTCTAAGTGGACCGTGGATTCTGACTCCTATGTCCTGTATCATTGGAGGCCTGGAAAATTGAAGTTCCTATTTATCTCAGGCAAAGGACCTGAGACAAAAGCCAGCTACAGAGAAGGGCCCCAGTAACCCCATAGACTTTATGGCCTGAGGATTTCTTACTTTCCTGAGAGCTCATCAATGAATTAAAGATATTTTTAAAAGCTTTATCCAGAATTGTTGATTGTTCGTAATCTGTGGGGAAACTGACCCAGGTATTTCTTCTTCCTATTATGGAACTGAAATTCCTATGTTAATATTTTATCTAAAGCAAAGCTGTTTAAACTATGTATGGATTGAACCTGGCACCATAACATTGTTTTGACAGGACCCAATCAACAAAATTAACTAGATGAAGCACATTAGTTTAAATATAATTTGGTATTTGGTGCAATAATGGCAAAAACAGAAAAATAAATTTCCTTAAAGGGCTTTATTTTCTAGGAAGGAAAATACAAAGTTTGTCTCTAAATTAGATGTAATTTTTAAAAACGTTGAGCAGTGTACATATGTGCTTGTGAAAATTGTAGGCATTGAGACAACAATACATCTTAAATGTAACAACATTGAAACATTGAAACAACATATCTTAAAAGTAAATGATCATAGTTGGAATTGCTGCATTGATTATACCATTTTAAAAAGTTTCAGACATTGACTTTGAAGCTTATTGGTTCATTCATTATGACATATGGGTAATTTGTAGATAATCAATGGAATTGTCATTAAGTCTCCCAAAAGATATAGTATTATATTCATAAGAGGTATAGAACCAATTCTCAAGAAAATCTATCACAGACATAAGGCTTCATTACATGCAGACTAAAGAGTGAACACTAAGCCGAAAGTGTCCAATAAAGTGTGAGCTCAAATGTCTTCAAACTAGAAATGTGAAGTCACTATTGCTATATTTTTCACAGTCAGTAGTAAGCAGTTTGATTCTAAAAGTACATTCTACCAGAAGAACTTGCCCCAGCCAACACTGGGGAAACAGAATTAGCTCGGAACACAAAGGAATGTGAATGAAAGATAATCCTAGCTTTCCAATTTTGTGGGTAAATTACAACTCAGGAGAGAATTAGAAGAATATGTGAATTATTTTGAGGGAAAAAAATTAAATTTACATTCATATTGAGAGGAATTTGAAGGAAGTAGCAACATAACTGCTTTGTTGTGTGCTCTGATTAAAAGAGAAAGCAGGCCGAGAGTGGTGGCTCATGCCTGTAATCCCAGCACTTTGGGAGGCCGAGGTGGGAGGATCACTAGCTCAGGAGTTCGAGACCAGCCTGACCAACATGGTGAAACCTCGTTTCTACTAAAAATACAAAAATTAGCTGGGCATGGTGGCAGGCGCCTGTAATCCCAGCTACTCAGGAGGCTGAGGCAGGAGAATTGCTTGAACCCAGGAGGCGGAGGTTGCAGTGAGCTGAGAGCGTGCCACTGCACTCCAGCCTGGGCGACAGAGCAAGACTTTGTCTCAAAAAAAAGAGAAAACAAAAACTAAATATGTTATTCCAACTTTTGGAAAAATTTTTATTTAATACAAATGTGCTCAGGGCAAGAGTCTATATACACAAAGTATTTATATGTATTATATATATAAATCTATATTATATATATATAATTTGATATATATCTATTTTATTCAAATCAAATGAGACATCTCGCTTTCTGACATACAAGCATATGGTATGTAAATGTGATATGTACTTCCTAAAATAAAGAACTTTTTTATAAACCTCAATTTGGATGACTTGCATTGAGAAATGATATTTGATTAATATATTGTATGTAATTACTGCATTTGCTTTATTTTATATCCATGACACTTAATATGACTAACAAAGACATAGAACACAATATTGTCTTTTCGTACAGTTGCTGTGAAATCACACTGATAGCTGATGATAGACCATTCATTCAGTTGTTTTGAAACATTTTTCTTGAAGCTCTTCGGTGGCTTAAGTTTTCCCCTGACTACTGGTTCTAGAATAGGATTAAGTGAAATAGCCGGAATGTACCTCTCCATCTTCAGATTCAAGTGCATTTTTAAACACTTGCACTATGCCCATTTTTAAAAGAAATGAGATTAGTCATACATAAGGCCAGAAAAAAATTTCTTTATTATGGATTGGCTAGGTATTTGATTTCTTTATATTGGGCTCTAATCAATTTCAAATTGCAGTAGCTTTCATTTCTGAAATGGGGACTGAATCGGGCAGTTTCCCTTGCAAAGTCTGAATTCCCGGTTCCTCAAACGGTTCTCAATCTGAGCATGGTGGACCTCTCCAAGGAACTATCAGCAGGTTAGTCATAAATCAGAGAGCCTTCTGTTTACCCCTATGACTGATCTCTAGGAACAGGATCAATGCGCTTCATTCCTGAAACCTGAAAACAAGTATCTGTGAGAGAGGATGTCAAGAAAGACAATATTTTAAAAGGTCAAACCTTAATTCACCTTGGTTCCCAGAAATATTCCTTACAGCTTTTTGATGAAAACAATTTCCTAGCCTTTGATGATTACATTCTAACAGCCCTGCAGTCAGGAACATTAAAAGTAGTTATAGGCTCATTTTTATTCCAAAAATTCTTAGCACTGCTAAATCAACATCCCCCTTTTCAAGCCCAGAAACAAAGGTAACAACTGACCAATTTCTAGAATATAAGTTCTCATATAAATTCTGATATAAAAGTATATTCAGGAGGTAGCTTTTGTTGAAAATAAGGGTAATGTCATTTCTAAGATGCATGTGTAGTATGTAAAATATATGCAGTGAAAGAAACTAAAAGAAGCATATTTTATTCTATTTTATCGTTTTGCTTGATGCTTCAGTGACAATTATGTTGAAAACTTTCTCTTGCAATTCATCTGTGTAAAATATCAGTAAGATTACACCTTCAGGATGAAATCAGGAGAAAAATCTTTTCATTTTTACTACTTTAAGATGTATTTCTTGTCCCAGAGCCCACCATTTTTCAAGGTATGTAGTTTGAAGAAATAGCATTAACAACTTTTTGCATAAAAAAACTTTCATGAATGCAAACTTTGAGTGATTTTCTGGTAAATCTAATTTATTTAAATTAGCTTTATTTAATTACCCATACAGCTGTTCTGTGCCCTGAATATAGCCCAAGGGACTATTTAAAGTGCTTAAGTCTAAATGTCATGTTTTATCACTATATAACATGTAGCAAACTACAACAAAAAAATTTTGTTGTTCACTGGGTAGTACTTCAAGAATATGGCATTCCTTTCTTTTTTTCTCTGATATGATAGTAGTTACAAAGCTACAAGCTAAATATAAGTAGGATTGACTTTTTTTTAACACTGTCATGTCATCATTCAAGTTACAGCTATATCCTTGCTGAGAGAAGACTCTTCCATTCCAATAGTTTTAATTACCATCTATACCTAGAGTTTTCAAGATCCATATCACAGCCCACTTTTCTTTCTCGTTCTCTAGACCCTACATCCAATGTCAACTGAACGTCTCCTCTTAAATGGTCCACATGTCCAAAGTGGAATTCACCATCTTTCTTTCAAAAAGATCATCTTGTTGTATTCTAACATCAACAAATGGGGCTTCATTTACCGTTTAGATGACTGGTTCTAAGATGATTTAGGGCATAAGATGGCTTAGAGCTGACATCACCTCTATCCTTACATGGAACAAACTGTAGGCAATATCACTACTTAGCATACTAGAAAGGGCTTGGACTCTGAAGTCAGATGACCTGGGTCTGAATCGCAGCCCTACTGTTATTTACAACATAATCTTGGGCAAGTTATTTCTGGAAGCCTCGGTTTCCTCATCTATGACAAAAATACAATCAAACGTCCCAGCGATATCTAGAGAATTTAAGGAGAAAATGTATGTGAAAGTGTTGACTACAAGACATAAGACAATGTAAATACTAATGATTTCTATTTAGTATATTTCTAAAAGAAGAATCCAGTGAGGATGATAGGCTTAAAAATAGAACAAATCGTCTTAATGTATAAAATGATAGTATTCTACGCCACTGCTACTGAAGTCACACAATGCAACTTAGTTCTCTAAAGTTTTATCAGGACTTGCCCAATTCTAGTGCCAACTAAACATGTGGAAGGCAAAAGTGCTTGTCATCCAAGGAAAGCCACATATTTTGGAAATACTTGATCTGTGTACACATATCGTTAGGAAAAGAAGGTTGAATTTCCTGATAATATTATGGATCCTTTTAGGTCAACAGAAATTATTGAACACTTGACTTGCATTAGAGCAGAATTTAGAGACAGCACTTCCCTACTTTATCATTAGGAAATGGGAAAATCAGGTCAAAGATGTGATTATCCTCCAAAGTTAGGGTTTCTTTTAAATCCCAAAGGATCTTGCAATACAATTAAATTTAAATGAGATTCTGTCATAAGTTCTATTGTATTACACACCACCCAGTCAGCCCAGAATGCTCAGCTCTTCCTGTTCTAAGGTGTTGTGTGAGCAGTTTGGATGGCACTTGTTTCACCGAGCATGATTTACTGTCATGACTATCTTTAAAGTGGAAGATGCAGGGGATGCCCTGATGACCTGGTCAATAGAAACAAATGAACACGTGACTTGCATTTGAGCACAAGTTAGAGGCAGTTCTTCCCTAATCAACAATTAGGAAATGGAAAAACCCAGCATGGTCTCAATATGTTTCAATATCCCTAAAACTGGTGAGAAACCTCTATATCCAGATGGCGTCACTCCAATGAGAGCATCACTCCAATAAATAAGTTGCCCAACCATATATACAGTTGTTGGGTCTTTTTCGCTTGGAAAAAGTAGCAAATGGCAATATCTGAAAGGGACATTTTACTTTTTTTTCTTTTAATAAAGCAATTCAAGATTGCCGGTGCCATATATTCAAATGCTCAAATCACGCACACACCCAAAGCATCCACAGTGGCTTATATGACATATTCACCAACAACATCGCCATCTCCAATTTCCATCACATTGTCATTGAACTTGTTCATACAGGTATGTTTGTCTCATGTTCCAGCCTTTATCCCCGAAGCATTTGAGGGCTGACAGTTTTATCTCCTTATCACATTATTCCAGTTATTTGCAAGCAAGATGTAGCGGGAACCTGAACATCTTGGGGATAATTACTCTTCCAATAATTTGCAACACTAATGATACTTTTCTCATTTTTATGGTGCAAGTGTTTTATGCGTTATTAATTTGCACTTGGTCTTTTCTTTGATATTTTTCCTCCTGTCTGAGAGTTTTACAGGTCTATAGCTTGTACTGTGCCTATGAAGAATGTTTTCTACTACAAAATAAGGAAAATGATTATGATAATACTGAAAAGGCCAGATGCTGGCCTTTATAAGAAAAAAAGTGTATACTATAAAACTTGTTTTTCTTTGTCTTCCCTAAATAAGAGGTTAAGTTATAAAGTTGAGTGAGGCTAGTTAAGAGTAGTGCCTCAGGGGTATATATCAGCTGTGATCATCCTAGTAGGCTAGCGTATAGTTAAGAGACCATGTCAGAGCAAATCAAAGCCCCTTCGTACTAAGCCTTGAGATCTGGTCCTATGCATGATTCAAATTCTCTAGGAAAAGAAAGTAGATGGGGCAGGTTAACATATCAACATAAGATGAAGCTGTTATAACTGTTTTCTGACCCTACAGTTCTGCCTTTTCCGGAATGTCATATAAATGAAATTATGCAATCTATTGCCTTTGCAGTCTGGCTTATTTTACTTACAAAAATGTGCTTAAGAGTCATCCATTTTGTTGCATGAATCAGAAGTTTGTTCTTTTTATTGTTGAGGAGTACTCCATTCTATAGATGCACCACAGTTTGTGTATCCATTCACTTGTTAAGGGGCATATTGACTGTTTCCAGCTTTTTGGCAATTACAAAAAATGCTGATATAAAATTTTATCTACAGGTTTTTGTGTAAACATGAGTTTTCATTTCACTTAGGTAAATAACTAAAACTAGGATCACTGGGTCATATTGTAAATGTATGTTTAACCTAATAAGAAATTGCCGAAATATTGTCCAAAGTGGCTGTACTATTTGGCATTCCAACAGCAATCAATGAGCATTTTTATTGCTCTGCATTCTCACTAGTATTTGGCACTGTCAGTTTCTTTTTTTAAAAAAACGTTTAACCATGCTAATAGGTGTGTGGTAATATCTTATGGTTTTAATTTTTTCTTCCCTAGAGACTAATGATGCTGAGCATCTTTTCATATGCTTTTTTGCCATCTCTATGTCTTGCTTGGTGAAGTCTCTGGATATTTTGCTCACTATTTATTGATTGTTTACTTATTGTTGAATTCTAGTGGTTCATTATATATTCTGAATACATCCATTAAAAGTTATATGATTTGCAATTTTTTTCTCCATCTGTGGCTTGTCTTTTCATTCTCTTAACAGTATCTTTCACAGAACAATACTTTCAGTTTTGATACAGTCCAATTTACCTACTTTTTTGATTGTTTGTGGTTATTGCATAGTATCTAAAATTCATGACTAAAGCCATTGTCATCCAGATGTTTATCCTACCTAGGAGTTTTATAGTTTTATGCTGTATATTTAGGTCTATGATCAATTTTGAGTTAATTTTTGAATACCTTGTGAAACTTTTGTCAATTTATTTTTCTACATATGGATATTGTTCTAGTACTAGTTGTTTAAAGAATTACCCTTTCTCTATTAAATTGCCTTTGCACCTTGTAAAAAGTCAGTTGATTATTTTGTGTGGGTTTAATTCTGGGCTATTTTATTTCAAAAATTAACATGTTTATCATTTTGCCTAACCTACACTGTTTTGATTACTGCACTTTATAGTAAGTCTTAGAATCAGGCCACAAGTGCAGGTTCTGCCTTCAGGCAGTGTGAGTCTTCTGACTTTATTCTTTCAATAATTATTTTCGATTTGTTCTTCTCTCAAGAATTATTTTGGCTTTCTATTTCCTTTGCCTTTTCATGTAAATTTTAGAATCAGCTTATAATTATTTTCTAAAGAAGTTTGCTGGGATTTTGATTACCATTGGGTTGACTCAGTAGATCAAATTGGGGGGAATATTGTCTCCAATTCATGAACATGGTATATCTCCCTATTTGTGTACATCTTTGATTTCTTTCATTAGTGTTCTATGGTTTTCAGCTTACAGATTCTGCACATATTTTGTTCGATAGATCATTGTTCTGCTTTTATTATAAAGGATATTGATTTTCAAACTACAAATTCCAAATATTCATTTCTGATATATAGGTATACAATTGATGTTTGTATATTCTCTTGTTGTCCCATAACCTTTAAACTTCGTTTCTTTAGTGCCTAAAGTTTTTGGTAGATTCTTTGGGATCTTCTACACAGACAGTCATATTGTCTGCAAATTCTGTTATTAGCCCAACAGAATCATACTCAAACTCCAAGTTATACTCTCTGTAGAGAAAAACAGTTCCTTCAGTCATGTCACCTAAAACATCTTGCCCACACCTGTGTTCCACACTCATCAAACTATAATGTAATTAGTATTTACATGTTTTTCTACACCAGGAAGGACCTGGAATGACAGGAAGGACCTGCCATTTCTGCCTTTTCATTCCAAACATCTAATAAAGTAGCAAACACCTAAGAGGAAGGCATTGTTTATTTAGTAAAGGACAGGCCAAAAATAGGAGAAGTCAAGGAAGAAAGGAAGAGAAGAGAGAAAGGAAAAATGAGACAAATTTACACACTAGTGGCCAGGCACTGTGGCTCATGCCTGTAATCCCAGCACTTTGGAAGGCAGAGGCGGGTGGATCGTCTGAGGTCAGAAGTTTGATACCAGCCTGGCCAACATGGTGAAATCACGTCTCTACTAAAAATACAAAAAGTAGCAGGGTGTGGTGGTGGGTGCCTGTAATCCCAGCTACTGGAGAGGCTGAGGCAGGAGAATCACTTGAACCCAGGAGGCGGAGGTTGAAGTGAGCCAAGATTGCACTACTGCACTCCAGCCTGGGTGATAGAGCAAGACTCCATCTCAAAAAAAAAAAAAAAATTACACACCACTAATCATATATTCAAAGAAATATATAGTTTACTTATTTTCTGTTACTGATCTATTAATCTTCCTTGTAAGTATCACCCTACTAGCACTGGAAAGAGAGCATTAAACTTGCCAATTCTATATCTTCATCTCTTCTATTTTAAATCATTTTATTCAGGCAACTTAGTGTGTTTGGGGAAATGTTCACTTTTTCAGTTGTTTCTCTCCATCTTCCTCTTCTCTAAGATGGCATCTGGGCAATGGCATTACACACAGGCCTTCATGCTAGCCTGGAGAAGAGCCTGGGCTCTAAGCACCGTTACCTTATGCTGTTATTGTTCATGTCTTCCTGACTCCTCTATATCTCTTGGTTTTCTTGTGGTGACTGCTCTGCTGGCATCAATTACTGAAGCCTTGACTGAAGTTTGCAGCTGATAGTCTAAAGTCTATACTTTCTCTTGGCATGGTCAGGGCCTATGCCTCTCCTTTTATTCAATTCTACCTGAGCTCTTGCTGGCCCTGAAGTCAACTCGAATTCTCATCCAAATTCTCTTTCTATTCTCTGGCTTAGGAATTGTGCACCCCACAATCCCTGCAGAGGTTACCCTATCCCTTGCCTGAGCTGCCTTCATGAAGTTCCAGCATCACACTTCTCACTTTCCCCTACTCCACAGGGTGACTAGAAGAATATGTGGACTCTTTCTGTACTAGCTGGGAGCCAGAGTAGACTCAGGAGGCCCACTCTCTGCCTAATCATGGTAAGGCATATACTTATCCGGGATGGTGGGCTCCTCTTGGTGTTGAGTGAAAGCACAACATTGGAACGGTTTTATTTGCTCTTTCATAAGACATTTTGGAATTAGGAGAGTAGACTTCAGAATGAAATTAATGCACACTTCCCACTGGACTTGATATTTAAAAAGACTTTTTGGCAGTATGAACCACCTCTTTAACCCAGTCTGGCACACAGTAGTAAAACCAAATGAAAATACGACCTGACAAACACCCAGTAGGGTAGTTGTCCAAATAATCAAGTCATTGAAAAATTCAGCAATAATGCCCCATCGTAGTGTGAATATGGTTGAAGCTATAAATATGAGAGAACTTATTGAGAAATGTACCTTTTTTTCCTTTCGCTTCTTATATTGGATTTTAAGTTGGCCCACTTCGGCAGTTATACAAAACACTGTACCTTTGCTGTCAGTACTTATAGCTAATTGCTATGTGTACACCAGTTTCTAAAAGTTTGTGGTCTTCAGTCTCTGGGTTTAACTCATAAATCTCTTTTTCAAATCAAAGGCATCCAAGAGTATCATTTAAAGTATCCATGATTATATATGTGTATATATGCATATTATAAATGTAATATGTGTAATATTATACTATATGTAATATATTACATAAAATATATTTAAAATATTCAGGCGGCTCTTAGTCACCTCATTTCTCATTACACTGTATGATGAACAACGATGATTCCTATATTTACACACAAGTCTCTAGATTCTGTTATTCTAAACTCAAAATCCATGAAAAAATTTCCCAAAACACATTCATCAATCCTTCAGTTTTTCAGGTGCAGTTTTTCTGTCCTCAAGGCTCATGTTTCTTGCTCTATAATTGCTCGAGGTGGCGCTCCTTCCTCATCAAGAACTCCTTCCAATAGTACATGTCACTCCCTTTAAGTACAGCTTGCATATTAAATTTGTATTTCTGTGAAATTAATTTTCCCAAACTGCCCTGGCACCATTGAATTAGGCCACCAGCCTATTCCGGTGGACACAGACTCCTTTCCACAAGTTTCCTTCTTTTCCTGCAAACACACAAATTCCCTCATTCCAGGTAAGTGTTGCCACAGAAGTCCACAGTCACATTGTGGGAGAGGGTGTGACCACAATTGAAAAGGATCTCATAGAAAGCTCAAGAACTGCAGTGGGTTCAACACTGCCAGTTAGATTCAGGCCACAAAGTAATCGTCCAACTGGTTCCAATTGCAGTGAAGTCTTAATGTGATTATTCAGAGAAGATTGATGAGTAGGTGGCTGACTTGGCCCATTTTAGGCCTTGTTATTTTAAAACTGAAAAGAGCCATATACACAAAATATTACAGCACTTCTAAAAGTGGAGGGTGTGTGCTGCCCATAGTTTGTGAGGTAATTTTAGGTGGTACAAGATCAAACATCTTGATCTTGGTGTTTATATTTTCCCACCATTGTGTAATTACCATGCATGACTCAAAGACTAGAAAGGAGGAGAGGAAAGAGAAGGTGAGCCAGAGGAAGAAGGAACGAAGCCAGGAAATCTGTCTATAGCTGAGGCGGAGGTGTTTTGAGTCCCAAGACCGGACTGTGGTGCTCGTCAGCTGCGTGGGTGGGGAAGAGAGTGTGTGTGACACATGTCTAGAGGAGCAGGCTGATCAGCAAAGTGCCCAAGGGAAAGGTGGACTCTGATGATCATACTGACTCCTCAATCCTTCCTTGACATCCAAGATCTCCAGATGGAGAACTCAGCCCCAACACGGAGCAATCCCACCGATAGAAGAAGAAAAGAATGCTTGGGAAGACATGTGGAGTAGAAAATGAGCAAGAAAGCTTTCAGAGAAAGAGAAACAGGTAATGCAACTAAGAGTAGGGGAGGTAGAATTCCCAGTAAATAGAGACCTCCTGGGGAATAAGAAGATAGCTGAACTGCTAGTGATGTAAGAAAGGACAGGTATGGTGAATACAACCTTGAACTGGAAGTTGGAACACTGAGATTGTTTTCCAGATATGCAAAAAAAAAAAAATCACTCTGCAATCCGGGGTAAATCAGTCTAAATCTCTTCTGCTATAATTAGAAATAGATTTATTATTACTTCTTTGTTTATTTTTAAATAACCTTATTATTATTATTGTTTGAGACAGGGTCTCGCTATGTCACCCAAGCTGGAATGCAGTGGCATGATCAAACCTCACTGCAAACTTTTAACTCCAGGGTATGAGTGATCCTCCCACCTCAGCCTCCCAAGTACCTGGGACTGTAGGCACATGACCATGACCAGCTAATTTTTCACTTTTGGTAGACATGGGGTCTTGCTTTGTTGCCCAGGCTGGTCTCAAATTCCTGGACAAGCAATCCTCTTGCCTTGGCCTCCCAAAGTGCAGGGATTACAGGGGTAAGTCACCATGTCCAGCTCTTATTTAATTTTTTAAATAATATTTATAGTAACCTGCGTACGGTGATAATGTTTTTCCATTTATGGTTGAAACATAAGTCTTCCTTGAAAGTAACGTTATTAAAATAAAAGAGGAAAAAATGTATGGATGAGCACTGGTATCAAAGAAATTTAAATTATGGTACAATATAGTCAATAACCATATGAATCCTGGATCCGGCCTGTCTGGGTTGAAATTGAGGCTGTACCACTTACCGATTGTAATCTTGGTTAAACTACTGAACTTCTCTCTGCCTCCATTTTTGCATCCGTATAATGGGGATAATGATGGTTCCAATATCACAATGTTGATGTGAAGATCAAATGAGTTAATATATCTAAAGTTCTCAGAAAACTGCCTGGCATATCTGTACGTCTTGTTTTGTATGTGTATATACATACTATAAAAGTTGATTTAAAAGTTACAGAATGTACAAGTACAAAACACTCGTCTAATATCCCTGTTCTACAGAGATTTAGAAGTTACATGTTTGTAAATCTCAACTTCTCGGTGGCAGGACATGGATCAGAATCCAGTTTTTGGGCCAGGCACAGTGGCTCACACTTGTAATCCCAGCACTTTGGGAGGCTGAGGAGGGTGGATCACTTGAGGTCAGGGGTTCGAGACCAGCCTGGCCAACATGGTGAAACTCCGTTTCTACTTAAAAAAATGCAAAAATTAGCAGGGCATGCTGGTGTATGCCTGTAGTCCCAGCTACTCAAGAGGCTGAGGCAGAGAATCACTTGAAGCTGGAAGGCGGAGGTTGCAGTGAGCCAAGATCCACTACTGCACTCCAGGCTGGGCAACAGAGTGAGACTCCATCTTTAAAAAAAAAAAAAAAAAAGGAATCCAGTTTTTTTGCATCACCTTCTAATTCTACCTGTTTGTTTTCCATCACTGTTTACCTTGCCACTACTGCCTGAGCAGGCAAAATAAAGCCTTATTGCAAACGAGCTTCCTTGTAAAAGGAGGATCATACCCTATTAGCCCAAATATATCACAGATAGCATAGACAGAAGATTTGCGAAAATAGTCATTTTACTTAAGAATCTCATATCTATCTCGTAAAACATGAGGATTTTACTGTTTCTGGTTAATAGAGGTACTGAAAAGTGAATGAGTGGCTGGCCAGTAAGAGAAACAGACAGCAATGGCATGTGTCTCTTCTAGCAGCAGATAACTTTGCAGCATGGATAACCTAAAATCATCAGCAATGCATTCACTGATAAGACCTCACAATTCTCATGAATTCATCCCTTAATTCTCATGAATTTACAATTCTTACTCTTCATTTGCCATATTAATTATCGGACCATAGAGTCTTTCTTTAACCCTTCATTGTTTACTAATTAAGTCAATTAACTACATTCCATTCATTTTAATGAGTGTCATTTTGGTTACTACACACACACACACACACATAACAAGAAGCCATATAATAGTAAAAATTAATCTTTCTTTAGACTCTCTCCTAACAATTCACTTCTTTTAAGGCAGTCAGAACATCAGCCTCTGTCTTGTGGGGCTGGGTGTTTCATTAAGTGAGCACAGTAATTTTGCCCTCGTTAGGAGCTTTTTAAAAGCTTTCAGGAAAATACAATTTGAAATAAATAATGCTGATTAAACACCCTTTCATGGAAGAAATAATAGAAAGAGATCAAGTGATAAACGAAATGAATGTTGCGCTATCAAAGCAAATGGTGATTAATGGAAGGCCAGTTCTTTGCTTGCACTGGCACCTCTGTAAGCTGGTCAGTACCATTTATAATTGTGTTTTAGTGTTTTGCAGCCCAGTCATTTATACTAACGGTAACATTAAAGTGATAAATTAGGAAGAAGCAGGTTGTCTAATCAGCAGATAGGCAGTAATGCAGCTCCAGTCAAAAGGAGAGTGATTCCTTTTCTTTTTTGTGTTAATAATCAAGGAATAGAAGGATGGTTTGATTTGAAGGGAAATTTGCCAAATATGCAGGCATTCACATATTTAAATTATTTTAATATTTCCTTTTCTTTCTTTTTAAAGTAAGTTTGCATTTTACTTTAATCCTCTTTCAAATGATGTACCTTTTCTTTTAATCACCTAAAAGAGAGAATTGCAGTATGCCAGTGCTGTAAAAAGGTCGTTTCTTGTACCTTAACTATTAGCTGTTTCAAAAAATTTAATATTAACTGCAGACCATCCTGCTGTAACTTGTTACTCTGCAAGGAAATCATAGCCACCAATGCGGTGCTACCTGTTGGACTTTGTATCTCTTAAGCATATTCTTTTAAAAAATTTTTTACTTTAAGTTCTGGGATGCAAGTGCAGAATCTGCAGATTAGTTACATAGGTATACATGTGCCATGGTGGTCTGCTGCACCTATCAACGTGTCATCTAGGTTTTAAGCCCCGCATGCATTAGCTATTTATCCTGATGCTTTCCCTCCCCTCACCCACCCAACAACTGGCCGGATGTGTGATGTTCCCTTCCCTGTGTCCATGTGTTCTCATTGTTCAACTCCTACTTATGAGTGAGAAAGTGCAGTGTTTGGTTTTCTCTTCCTGTGTTAGTTTGCTGAGAATGATGGTTTACATCTTCATCCATGTCCCTGCAAAGGACATGATCTCATTCCTTTTTATAGCTGCAGAGCATTCCATGCTCTATATGTACCACATTTTCTTCCTCCAGTCTATCATTGATGGGCATTTAGGTTGGTTCCATGTCTTTGCTATTGTAAATAGTGCTGCAATAAACATACGTGTGCATGTGTCTTTATAGTAGATTACTTATATTCCTTTGAGTATGTGCCCAGTAATGGGATTGCTGGGTCAAATGGCATTTCTGGTTCTAGATCTTTGAGGAATCACCACAGTACCTTCCACAACGGTTGAACTAATTTACATTCCCACCAACAGGGTAAAGCATTCCTATTTCTCCACAGCCTCACCTATATCTGCGGTCTCTTGACTTTTTAATAATTGTCATTCTGATTGGTGGGAGATGGTATCCATTGTGGTTTTGATTTGCATTTCTCTAATGATCAGGGATGTTGAGCTTTTATTCATATGTTTGTTGGACACATAAATGTCTTCTTTTGAAAAGTGTCTGTTCATATCCTTTGCCCACTTTTTGATGGGTTTGTTTTTTTCTTGTAAATTTGTTTAAGTTCCTTGTAGATTCTGGATATTAGACCTTTGTCAGATGGTAGACTGCCAAAATATTCTCCCATTCTGTAGGTTGCCTGTTCACTCTGATGATAGTTTCTTTTGCTGTGCAGAAGCTCTTTAGTTTAATTAGATTGTATTTGTCAATTTCAGCTTTTGTTGCAATTGTGTTTGGTGTTTTCCTCATGAAGTCTTTGCCCTTAAGTATGTTCTTGATTAACGTTATGCATGTCTCATAAGTGACGAAAAAATATTTCCAGGAATATATGCACATACATTTTATTTTAAAAATGTATATTCACTAATAAAAATAAAGATTCACTAATAAAACTACCCACCACTAATGCAGATTCCATTTTGTATAGAATTTTTGTAAAATAATTGTATTAATGACTAAATATTAAAGTTTATTCACTTTTAAGCAGAAAAATTGCATTTTGTTAACTCTTTGATATCCTGAAGTGATTTTATTCTGGTTTAGAAAATAACTTCCCTTTTCCTCAAAATTAACAGACTTACTTTACACTTTGGACGTCTTCATTTGCTCATATTTCCAGCCAAATTTCAATATTAGGTACTATTAAGTTTTACTTGTCTTTCCCTTGATGTCTATATACCAGATGTGTGATACCAAATGCCACTGGTTCTGCTGTGCAACTTGGGTTAAATTCCTTTTTTGAAGGTGTTGCACAATGTGTTCCTTTTGACTTACTTGTCTTTCTCTCTCTTTTCACGGATTTCGCCAGAGTTTCTTTGAAACTCCATTACAAGTCACAGTATTTATCTGAAACATTGCTTCTTTATGATCAATTTTAGAACAATCCTGAAATCTCTCACATGCACTGGAAACTCAGTGCCAGTATACATAATCAGGGATGCCTATGGACAAGAGGAACTCATCTGTTTGTATAAGTTAAATGCCAGCATTTTAGGTTCATTCATGGACACATATAAGGAGAACGTGGAAAAAAAACAGGACAGAGAAAAATGTAACAGAAGAACCTAAAAATTTGGAATATAATTATTGCTTTGAATAACTTAATTCCACTTATTTTCTTTCTTTTCTTTTTTTTTTCTTTTCTTTTATTTTTTTGAGATGGAGGAGTCTCGCTCTGTCTCCCAGGCTGGAGTGCAGTAGTGCGATCTCTGCTCACTGCAAGCTCCGCCTCCTGGGTTCACACCATTCTCCTGCCTCAGCCTCCCGAGTAGCTGGGACTACAGGCGCTCGCCACCTCGCCCAGCTAATTTTTTGTATTTTTAGTAAAGACGGGGTTTCACCGTGTTAGCCAGGATGGTCTCGATCTCCTGACCTCATGATCCGCCCGCCTCGGCCTCCCAGAGTGCTGGGATTACAGGCGTGAGCCACCGCGCCTGGCCTATTTTCTTTCTTTTATAACTCATTGGTTTCTATTTGTCTTCCAGTCTTCAGCTTGGAAGCCACTTCCCCCATATAAGCTTCTTGACCCATCAGGAATGAATTGGGTGACCCACCAGCTACCCAAAGAGTACCAGGTCACAGCCCCTGTTCAGCACTTAGCACCCTCCTCATCAGGGCCTATATGCTTGTCTGTCTTCCCATACAATGTTACCACCTTGACGCAGGGACAGTGCTGTGTTCATTTTTGTATCCTCAGCACTTATTACAGAGAAAGTACTCAGTACAAGGCAATGCTTTGGGTATTTTGACGTGACTGCAATTTTGTCGAAAATGTAACCTCGCTATGGTATAGAGTGGAGGTCTGCTAAATCAGCCTTGAAGACTACGGATTTGGAAGATCACAGATCATAAACCCTTAGGTTTATGGCTAAGAGTATTTAGTGATCTCTCTCATTCCTTTTTGCTTTCTATAGGAGGTAAGAGGAAAGCTCTGATTTTTTTGTGTCAACATTTGCAAGGCTGGAACAATGAAGTTTTATCACTCTTGTTATTGTTGTAGTTTTAATTTTAAATGGTAGAGAATTCCAATGAGTTATCCTGTAACTTAAAAAAAAATTCTTCTCAAATGTTCCTCTTCCAGCAAAACACAAGAATAGAATCAGACTTATTTTCCCATTTGTTGATCTGCAGTTATGAACTGCTTTCATTGACAGGAAGGAGGACATTTGAGCTAAGGTGAAGATTTTCACCTGGCCTCTTCCCAAAAGTTAACATTTAACTTGTGCAAAGTTTAGATTATGGGTTGGGGGCTGGGGAAGATGCCTGGTGGTGACTGCAGTGGGAAAACATGCACTCGTTTGTGTCTGCTTTTGCAAAACTAAAACAAAACAAAAAGAATAGCTTGAATCAATGTTAATGTTAAATGCGTATAAATGAACTCATGCATTTTTCCTGTGACATGAACAATGCATGGATGATAGCTAAGCTCTTTCCTTTTGAGTATTTCTCCACTTAAGAGGCTTCGTAATGACTTGAATTGGCAGCTTTCATGTCCTTGATAGACCATTCATGTGTCTCACAAATTTCTATTTTCGTTATTTTACTTGTTGAACAAACATTTAGTGAATGAATATTTGAATATTTATTTGTTGAACAAATATTTACCATAGCACCCTTGGTAAAACACAGGTTCCGTCATCACATGGACTTACCTTATGCTAGTTATTGCAATCATTCCTCAGTTGTTACAAAGATTTTTAAGCAAGCTACTGGCGTGATAGGAAGGTTCTGGGTTCAGTTAGGTATATGGAAAATGAGGCTGGAGTTGTAAATTGAAAAGGATCAAACTCTGAGCTTTAAATTGGAAACAATTTGGCTCTTCTTACATCTGGAAGTCAAAAGGAAAGGCCATGTCAAGATTTCTTTATAAGATCCTGTGGGGAAAAAAAATAAATAGATCTAGAGGGTTTACCTTGTTTGGAGGTGAGCAGATTCATTTTTCCTCTTTAATTAATAACAGTAAGTATATTTCTTTGTTTCATGATCAGGTATATTTTTCATGTATTTTCTGAGCAATGACTGTCAGTAATAAATATCAAATGGATTGGGATCACCTCTTTCTTTGCTCAGGTTTATTTTTATCAGCTCTGCTGTTACAAGCTACACCTGAAAAAATGATGGGAGCTGAAATATAGGGCCATGAAATGCAACAATAGCACTTTTCCAAGGGCAACATATAGGCTTTACTTAGCATTCAGCATTTGAAAACATGCTCATTATTTCAGTGAGATTAAAAACGTACAGGAATCCAAAAATATAAATTAGGAAGAGCTCAGAGCAAAGCATTTATAAATATGAGTGGTGAGAATGAAGATGACTTTGAGACACCTGATCTAGTTGGTCTCTCTCTCTCCAAAGTATTCATTTTTTTAAAAAAAAAAGGCCGACTTCGTAGAGTGAAGTATTTTACTCTCTGCATCATACCCTCAGCTGAACCACACTAAGCACTGGAGATACTCAACATCTGAATAATGCAGTCTTTTATTATTTGCGGTTTCCTTGATAAGGGGTAAAAATTACATTTCAGATTCTGCTCTGTCTCTTACATCTTTGTTATAAATTGTCTCCAGATTAGTGTCATTAATCATATTTTGTAGACAAAGAAATGAGATACACAGTAAGAAGTAATCTTCTAAGATTTTAAAAGTTTGAGAGATAAAATTAAGAGTTTACTTTACCAAATTCTAATTCATACCAATCTTTCAAGAAAACAAATTCAGTAATTTACAAACAATTTGAGGAAAAACAGTGGTAAAAATAGAAAAATGGCCTCCTCAGGTAGATTTTATTTATTCATAATGAGATTGCTAAAATAATTTATTATAATTACTTACTGCTATCTAAGTTAATGCTGATATTAAAAAAGTGTTTTTATTTTAAGGAGCAAATTATATACAGCTGACTTGAAGGCATACTCAAAAAATTTGGTTGCAGTGAAATAGTAATTCCATATTTGTATTTTATATTCATTTACTATAAAACATCCTCTACTATGGAGACTTTATCTAAAGTCAGATTCGATGCTTCAAATACTGAAGACATAAGCAAAATGCTCTCTTGCCTACAAGGAGTTGGCTTTTCTGTCTTCCTTAAGGATTATCTAGTGGAGGTGGGAATAAGTTTTGGACTCTAATTCTCCACTAACCTGAAATTACATGTGATGTGCATGGGCCTATTGATCTGAATTAATGACCTTTATGCTATACTACTCAGAAATTATAGCTTTAAAAAATGACATAAGTAGGTTTGCAAGATAGAAAGAAAATTACTCAGGGCCAAGAAATGAAGAAAGAATGATAACCAGAGGAGCAAGTCTATGAACTGACACTGAGTGATGTGAGCTTTATGCATATTTGGGGGCTGACTTTATACTGCCTGCAGGCTTGGGAATTAAAAGGTAGAAACAAAACATTAAAAACTGGTCTCAGGTGGTACACTAAAGAAGGGTACACTAAACCTAAAGCTAGCAGAAGATAAAAAGTAGAGTGAAAATTAATGAAACAGAAACAGAAAAACAAAAAAGAGAAGCAATGAACTGAAAGCTCTTTGAAAGGTCAACAAAATTTAGCTAAATGGACCAAAAATAAATAAATAAATAAACAAACACTAAAACATATAAAATGAGGTTTGAAAAAGGGGACATTACTACTGACCTTACAGAAATAAAAGTTATAAAGGAATACTGTAAACAACTGTATGCCAACACATTAATTTAGATGAAACAGACAAATTTCTAGAAAAACATAAACTACTACAGTTGATGCAAGGAGAAATAGAAAATCTGACTATCCGTGTGACAGGTAAAGAGAATGAATTAGTAATACTAGTGAATTCTACCAAACATAAGAAATAATTAATACCAATGATGCACAAATGCTTCCACAAATAAAAAATAAGGAAACACTTCCCATCTCACTCTATAAGACCAATATTATCCTGGTACAAAAACCAAAGACATCACAACAAAGGCAAACTAGCTACCAACATCTCTTATGAATATAGGTGCAAAACTCATCAACAGAATACTAGCAAACTAATTCCAGCACCATATAACAAGGATTATACACCATGACAAATTGCAAAATATCTTGGGAATGCAAGATTGGCTTAACTTCAGAAAATCAATTAATAAAATAACTTATATCTAACACTACATCACAAGGAACTAGAAAAAATTAAGAAACTAAGCCCAAAGTTAGCAGAGAAAGGAAATAATAATGATTCCAGCAGAAAGAGAGAAAATAGCAAATAGAGGAAAATAAAAAAAAAAGAAACTGAGTTGATTTTCTTGAAAAGATCAACAAAACTAACAAAAATCTAGCTAGATTAAGAAAAAAAGAGACAACTCAAATAAAATCAGAAAAGAAAGAGGAAAAATTACAACTCATGTTGTATATACATCAATTTATATTGATATATTTATAGATATAAACACTGATATATATATATCAGTATATTATAGCATGCTATATATATATATATTTATGGTTCCACATATGCTATGACAAAAGCAAGTGTCCACAAAGCTGTTGTATTAGGCACAAAGCAGTTATAAAACTCCTCTCAGGTCCAGTGGCTAGTAAATATTGGAGCATGATTGAACCAGATAATTCAGCTCTAGAAATCCTGTTCTTGATAACCATGTCATATTGAACATAAGAAGCTACATTAACTTGACAAAGGATGGCCACTAGCAACCTCTAAAAACATCATAATTAATTGTGAAGTATTAGTGATAATCCCCTTAAAGCCAGGTAGATGACAAAGTGTTTGCTTTCACAATTTCTACTCAAATAATAGCAAAAAATAGGATAAGAAAATTGAAGGAAGTATACGGATTAAAAACAAAGTCATGAAACTAACCTCATATTTAAATTATGCAACTATTTACATACAACTTTTCCATAGAAAATCTCAGAAAAACCGATAAAGCTAGTAAGACAAATCAGTGAAGTTAAGATACGAATTCGATGTACAAAACCAATAACATCCTAAGCTGTAATTATTCCAAAACAGAATTTTAAAATAAAATTTATAATAGATGCAAGAACTCTCATGTAAGTAAAAAATAAATCTCTTAAAAGATGAGTAAGATCATAATGTAGGAAACTATAAAATTTGAATTGAGAAACTCAAAGATCACAGTAAATTTAGATATTTACCGTATTTGTGTGTTTAGCCATTCAATATTACAATGCTAACAATCAACATTAGTACGAGCAAAATCTCAACAGCTTTTACATAGAACTAGACAAGCTGATTCTAAAATTATAAAAAAGAAAATAGAGCCAAGATATGCAAGAGAAGTTTGATAAAAAAGAGAAAGGCAGAAACTCATCCTAACAAAGCAAAAATAAACCATGATCACACAATATAATATTGATACAGGAATACTCATAAATACTGAAATAGACAAATGGAACACACACTTAAAAATTTTAGAATAAAGACATATCAATAGGGAAGATTTTTTAAGAAGCCACAGTAAACCACAAATAAAAGAGGAAAAGAGAAAATTTCTATTTAAAGAAACACTAGAAACACAAGGTATACACATTTGAAGAATATGAAAGGTATTAGTATCTAATATACATGTATAAATCTACACATCAATGTTTCTACATTATATAACCAAGTAAGAAAAATGGGAAAAAGATAGTAAGAAGTAAAAGAAAAATCTAAATAGCTAAATTCTGTATTTTAAAAATGCTTTACCTCACTAGCAATTAGAGAGATCAAAACAATACCAAAAATGAGGTATCACTTCAAATCCTCAGACTGGCAAAAATTATTAAATTATTTTTAAAACTTTGGTTTTATATTTATTTGTAAAGTATTTTTGCAGAGTAAGAACACTAAACTTTTAACCAGTTATGTTGTAAATATTTTCTTCATTTTAATATTTTGACCATATACCTTTTTCCATGAGAAATTTTTAATTTTTATGAAGTCAAAATTTTCTAATGCTTTTCTTTTTTCCCTTTTTTAAAACCAAAGTTTTTATTACATAACATTTAATTGAACCATATTTAAAAGGTGATAAAACTGCTTTTTATTACTCAAAAAAAGAAGAAAGGTAACTAGTTTTAGAAAAGTTGTTGACTTCGCCATTTGATGGCAAACAGCCTTTAGAAAGCTTCAGTTGAAGGTGTTGAATTCACTTGCCCCATTTTCATTCCTCTCCATGAGTACCATGGAGTGCAGCTGCTTCTTATCAGCCATCTTGCCTCAATAGAAAAAACCTCATGCTTTTCTAATACAGTTTCATTCTTTTGTTTTGTATTTAAGCTTTACTGAGGTATAACTGGCAAATAAAATTGTATATATTCAAAGTGTATAATGTGATGATGTAAGTAATGCCTTTTGAAATGATTACCAAAATCAAGTTAATTAATACATCCATCACTTCAGTTACCAATATTGTGAGTGTGTGTGTGTGTGTGTGTGTGTGTACCTGTGTGTGGTCAGGACACTTAAGATATTCTCTTGCTGGGCATGGTGGCTCATGCTTGTAATTGCAGCTACTTGGGAGGGTGAGCATGAGGATGGCTTGAGGCCAGGAGTTTGAGACCAGCCTAGGCAACATAACAATACCCCACCTCTAAAAAACTTTTAAAAAGAGATAAACTCTCGGAAGAAAATTTTAAGTATACATTTTCTCGTCAGATTGCACTGATCAGAATGCAAAGTGTAATGCTGAATAGAAATATTAACAGTGAACACTTTTGCTTTTTAGAACTAATGACAAACAGAATATTTTCAATACTTTACAATGCAATGTAACGTTTCTTGTAGTTTTTTTTAGGCATTGTTCATCAGATTTGAATATTTCCTTTATTTCTAGTGTGTTGAGAGTTTTAAAAAATTGGTTTGGTTTTGCTGTTACCATGAATAGATGGTGAAATTTGTCATATGCTTTTACCACTTTTAGAAGTGTGCTTTGTAATCTCCAAGTATTTGAGAATGTTCCAACTATTCTTCTTTAACTGGTTTCAAATTTAGTTCCATTGTGGTGTGAGAAAGACACTGTAATTTCTATTGTTTTAAATTCGTTAAGGTTTGCTTTATGATCCAGAATGTGGTCTTTCTTGGTAAATGTTCATTGTCAGCTTGAAAAGAATATTTATTCTGCTGTTGTCAGATGAAGGAGTTTGTGGGTGTCCATTATATACAGTTGATTGATTGTATTGTTGAGTTTAATGATGTCCTTACTGATTTTCTGCCTGCTGAAACTATTTCTGATAGTGGGGTGTTGAAATTTCCAACTATAATAGTGAATTCATCTACTTCTTGCACTTATATCAGTTTTTGCCCGTGTATTTTCAAGCTCTGTTGTTAGGTGCATACATATTAAAATTGTTATGTATTTGTGGATAATTGACCCCTTTATCATTACATAATGCACTTCTTTATTCCTGATAACTTTCCTTGCTCTGAGATCTATTCTGTCTGCAAGTAATATAGTTATTCCTGGTTTTTTTAAATAAAAATTTGATGTTAGCATTGTACTCAGACAAAGAAAGACATACCATGCTGATATATATTTTCTCTGGCTTCTTTCAGAATTTTAAATTTATCTTTGATTTTCTGTAGCTTGAAAATGATATGCATAGGTGTAAGTTTTTGGCATTTATCTCTCTTGGTGTTCCCTAAGCTGTGTAAATCTGTGGTTTAATGTGTGACATTAATTTGAGGAAATAGTCATTATTGTTCCAAATATTTCCTTTGTTTCTTTCTTCCTTTCCTTTCAATATTCTCATTACACATAGGATGTGATACCATTTGGAGTTGTCCCACAATTCTTGGATATTCTGTTCTGGGTTTTTTTCCAGCTTTTTTTCTCTTTACTTTTCTATTTTGAAGATTACTATTTAGATATCCTTTTTTTTTGTTTTGTTTTGTTTAGTCTTTTTTTTATTATTATACTTTAAGTTTTAGGGTACATGTGCACAACGTGCAGGTTTTTTACATATGTATACGTGCCATGTTGGTGTGCTGCACCCATTAACTCGTCATTTAGCATTAGGTATATCTCCTAATGCTATCCACCCCCACTGCCCCCACCCCACAACAGTCCCCGGTGTGTGATTCTCCCCTTCCTGTGTCCATGTGTTCTCATTGTACCTCAGCTTTGTCTAGTCTAGTAATAAGCCTATCAAAGTCAATTTTCATGCCTCTTCCAGTGTTTTTGATCTGTAGCATTTCTTTTTGTTCTTTCTTAGAATTTCCATCTCTCTGCTTGCATTGACCACTTGTTCTTGCATACTATCTACTTTATCCATTAAAGCCCTTAGCATATTAATTAACCATAGTTGTTTTAAATTCCTGCTGTTATAATTAATTCCAACATCCCTGTCGTATCTGAGTCTGGTTTGAATGCTTTCTCTGTTCTTTCAACTTTTTTTTTTTTTCCTTTTAGTATGTCTTGTGATTTTTTTCTTAAGAGCTGGACATTATGTGCTAGGTAAAAGGAACTGCTGAAAATAGGCCTTTATTTTTTAATCCAAGAATCACAAGGACAAGCATGAAAATAGGCCTTTAGTAAGTGGTGGTAAGGTGAAGAGGGTAGAGAAGCTCTCTATAGTCCTATAATTAGTTCTCAGTCTTTTAGTGAGCTTGTGCCTCTGGACTGTGAACTTCACACATGCTTCTCAGGTTTTTTTTTCTCTCCTTAAGTGGAACAGGATGGCTAAAGTGGCCTGGAATTAGTTATTTCCCTTCCTCCACACGGAAGGCAAGAACCAGCTGGAGTCAGGTATTTCTCTTCCCCAAGGTCAGTTAGGCTCTGATGAAACCCTAGCAGGTTAAACAGTTTCTCCTGAAAGCATATTTTATCAAAATGAACAGAATGCTCTGGTGTATTTCAAAATGGTTCCTTTCTCCCTTCTCCTGCAGGAAGCACAAGGGGATTTTTCTAGCATATTCACCTATGAACCTGGTAGAACTCTAGGAGATAAAACACAAAATTGTGCACCTCTTCCACAACGACTTGGTTACCCTCAAGTTTTTCTCTCTGAGACTTGTCTACACAATGCTTCCAACAGTTTGTTAATTATAGTTCAGCACTGGTAGCCGCAGAGGTTTCAGCTCCTGAATTTCTGTTCCAGTAAGTTGTGATTCTCTGCATCTGCCTATCAATTGCTTCAATTTTGGAGGGACCAGTTTGCCCTAAGACTTCATTTTTCTTTTTTTTCAAATTTTATCATTATTATACTTTAAGTTTTAGGGTACATGTGCACAACATGCAGGTTTGTTACATATGTATACATGTGCCATGTTGGTGTGCTGCACCCATTAACTCGTCATTTAACATTAGGTATATCTCCTAATGCTATCCCTCCCCGCTCCCCCGACCCCACAACAGTCCCTGGTGTGTGATGTTCCCCTTCCTGTGTCCATGTGTTCTCATTGTACAATTCCCACCTATGAGTGAGAACATGCGGTGTTTGGTTTTTTGTCCTTGTGATAGTTTGCTGAGAATGATGGTTTCCAGTTTCATCCATGTCCCTACAAAGGACATGAACTCATCCTTTTTTATGGCTGCATAGTATTCCATGGTGTATATGTGCCACATTTTCTTAATCCAGTCTATCGTTGTTGGACATTTAGGTTGGTTCCAAGTCTTTGCTATTGTGAATAGTGCCGCTATTTTCTTACGCATCTAAGAGTTGTTAGTTTTTCAGTTGGTTCAGCTTTTTACTTCTTAGGATGGTGTGGCCACTTTCAAGCTTCTGACACTCTAGAGCAAAAACCAGAAGTCAATATGTCTTAGAGAAAGCCTTCATGGCATACCCCACAGGGCCACAAGGAAGATACCAGGGTGGTCATTGATACACAATTCAGATACCATTCAACCATTTCAAGTGTACAATTCAATGGATTTTAGTACAATATATTCATGTATTTGTGCAACAGTTACACAACCAATTTTAGTAGATTTCACCACTCTTCAGCAGTCACCTATAAATTTACCCTGACAGCCCTAGACAGACACTAAGCTTCTTTCTGTCTATTTAGATATGCCTGTTTTCCACATTTCATATGAATGGAATCATGCAAGGTTTTTAGAAACTGGCTTATTTCACTCACAATGTTTTCAAGGATTATCTCTGTTGTAGCATATATTTGTACTTCATTACTTTTTATTACTGGGTGCTATTTTATTTTATGGATTTACCCCCCCTTTTTTTTTTTGAGAGGGAGTCTCGCTCTGTCTCCCAGGCAGGAGTGCAGTGGCGGGATCTCAGCTCACTGCAAGCTCTGCCTCCCGGGTTCACGCCATTCTCCTGCCTCAGCCTCCCAAGTAGCTGGGACTACAGGCGCCCGCCACCACGCCTGGCTAATTTTTTGTATTTTTAGGAGATACGGTGTCTCACCGTGTTAGCCAGGATGGTCTCGATCTCCCGACCTCGTGATCCGCCCACCTCGGCCTCCCAAAGTGCTGGCATTACAGGCGTGAGCCACCGCTCCCAGCCCCATTTTATTTATCTATTCCTCAGTTGATGGGCATTTAGGTGGTTTTCACCTTTTGGCCATTATGAATAACACTTCTATGATCCTTCCTGTACACATTTTGTGTGGTCATGTTTTCATTGCTTTCAGATAAATATGTAGGAGTGGAATTGCTGGGCCATTTGATACATTATTCAGAGAGGAACCGTGAGACTGGTTTTCAAAGTGCCTATATCATTTTACGTTCTCACTAGCAGTGTAGAAGAATGCCAGTTTCTCCACATTCTTGCCAACACTTGTTGTTATACACCCTTTATAGCATTCTAGAGGATTTGAGGTGATATCTTATTGTGGCTTTGATGTGCATTTCCATGATGATTAATGATGTTGAGAATCTTTTCATATCCTTAGTGGCTATTTGTATATATTCTTTGGAGAAATGTCTATTCAGAACCTTTGCCCATTTTTAAATTGTGTTTCTCTTCATTACAGAATTTTAAGTTTCTTTACTTTTCTAGATAAAATTTTCATTCAGATACATGATTTGCAAATATATTCTCTGATTCTGTTGGTTATATTTTCATTTTTATGATGTCATTTTACTTTAAAATGTGTACGTTTTAAACTTTGATGATAGCCAATAAATATTATTTGGGTTGCTTGGGTTTTTATCATATTTTTAAAAGCATTTGCATAATATAAAGTCATATTTATCCCTATGTTTTTTCAAAGAATTTTACAGCTTTAAATCTACATTTAAGTATTTGATCCATTTTGAATTAATTTTTGTATTATGGTGTGAGGCAGAGGGTCTGATTTCATTTTCTTGCATGTGGATATCCAGTAGTCTCAGAATCATTTGTTGAAAAGACTATTCTTTCTTCATTGAATTGTGTTGGCACACTTCTCAAGGATCAATTTACCATTAATACAATTTTTAAATGTATTTTCCATTCTATTCTATTGATCCCTATGTCTATACTTATGCCAATACCACCATGTTCTGATTGCTTTCACTTTGTAGTAAGTTTTGAAATTGGGAATTGTGAGTCTTTCAACTTTTTTCTTCTTTTCCAATTTTTTTTGGCTTTTTTTCCCTTGAGTTTCCACATAAATTTTAGGTTCAGCTTGTTAATTTCTGGAAATAAGCCAGCTGGGACTTTGATAAGAATTATGTTAAATTTATAGATCAATTTTAAGAGTATCACTATCCTAAAAATATTGTCTTAAGATCCATGAACACAGACGTCTTTCCATTTATTTAGATCTTTAATTTTTCCAGCAGTGTTTTCTAGTTTTCACAGTCTATATTTTATACTTCTTTAAAATGTGTTCCTTATTACTTTTGATGCTATTGAATTGACAATAAAATTGCTTTGATGATTTCATTTTCAGGTTGTTCAGGCAAGTTGTAAATGCTATTTTTGTATTTCAACTTTTATTTTAGAAACAGGGGTACATGTACGGGTTTGTTACATGGGTATTTTGCATGATGCTGAGGTTTGAGGTATGGATCCTGCCACCTTGGTAATAAGCATAACACCCAATGGTTAGTCTTTTTCACTCATGACACCCCTCCCCAGATGTATTAGTCTGCTCTCATGCTGCTAATAAGAACATACCCAAGACTGGTTAATTTATAAAGGAAAGAGGTTTAATTGACTCACAGTTCCACATGGCTGAGGACGCCTCAAAATCATGGCAGAAGGCAAAGGAGGAGCAAAGTCACATCTTACATGGTGGAAGGCAAGAGGGCATGTGCAGAGGAACCCCTCTTTATAAAACCATCAGATCTTGTGAGACTTATTCACTATCAGGTAAATAGCATGGGAAGGACCCACCCCCATGATTCAATTATCTCCCACTGGGTCCCTTCCATGACATGTGGGAATTATGGGAGTTACAATTATGGGAGCTATGATTATGGGAGCTACAATGGAAGTTGAGATTTGGGTGGGGACACAGCCAAACTATGTCACTGCACCAGTAGTCCGCAGTGTCTATTGTTCCCATGTTTATGTCCCTGTGTACCCAATGTTTAGCTCCCACTTATAAGCGAGGACATGTGTTATTTGGTTTTCTGTTCCTACAATAATTTGCTTAGGATTATGGCCTCCAGCTGCGTCCATGTTGCTGCAAAGACATGATGTTGTTCTTTTTATAGCTCTGTAGTATTCCATGGTGGCTATATACCACATTTTCTTGAACTAATCTACCACTGATGGGCACCTAGGTTGATTCTGTGTCTTTGCTATTATGAATAGTGGAGTGTTGAACATACAAGTGCATGTGTCTTTTTGGTTGAATGATTTATTTTCCTTTGGGTGTATACCGAATAATGGGATTGATGGGTCGAATAGTTGCTCTTTTTTAAGTTTTTTCAGAAACCTCCAAACTGATTTCCACAGTGGTTGAACTAATTTACGTTTCCATGAACAGCATATAAGCATTCCCTTTTTTCTGCAGCCTTGACAGCATCTGTTGTTTTTTGACCTTTTACTAATAGTCAGTGAATGCTAATTTTATATGTCAATGCCAATGAACCGTAGGATGCCTAGCTATTTGGTTAAATATTACTTGGGGTATATCTGTGAGAGTGTTTCTGGATGAGATTGATATTTGAATTGGTACACTGAGTAAAGAAGATTGCCCTACCCAATTGGGTGGTCCTCATCAAATCCACTGGAGGCCTGAATAGAATTTAAAAAGACTGAGTAAGGGAGAATTCACTCTCTTTCTCTAACTGGCTTTGAACTGAAACATTGGTCTCCTTCATGCCTTCAGACCCAGTTCAACTCTGGTCTTTGGACTAGGACTGGGACTATACTACTGGCTCTTCTGGGTCTCTAAGTTCTTGACTACAGATCTTCAGACTTTGCTGCTTCCACAATTCCATATTTTATATCTATCTCATGTATATGTAATATGTCTCATATGGTTCTGTTTCTCTAGGAATCCAATTATTTTAATGCCAATAATTTTTCTAGAAGATAATTTTAAGGATAAGTTTTTCAAATTGGTTCTGGGGTGTCTGGAATTGATTATCTAATCTAATTAGATATATAAATGTTAATAACTTTATTTCTAATCATTATGAAGGCACTGACAGTCCACGGAATGACCAGGCAATAGAGATAGACAAAATATCTCCATTAGATATCCTAATCAACCACTTATAAAAAGCATAGAGGTGGGTGACTGTCTATATAATAGTTCCAAATATTTTTGGAAAACTAATTAATATAATAAGGTTGGTTGGTTGTTCCTAATGTCACTGGATAAAGTGGGGAAAGAAAAGAATGAGCTCAGTGATTTGTATTCCAAGTTCAAGTGCTACATAAATGAATTGAAGGTTTGTATGTGTGCCCTGAACGAGACGTTTATCTCTGGCAGCTACAACACTGAGACTGGTGAAAATCAAATTCAGAATCTCATTCTGCACCTGTTTGAAAACAATGCAAGTTGAACTTTCAGCCAAAAAATATCTACTTTTATAGTGAGAGTACTGATTGGGAAAGAATGAGATCCTATAAGTTGGAAGGGGGAAATGTGGGAAAACTCTGATGAAGCAGGGAATACTGAGTCTCTAAATCTGATGAATCTTCTTTGCCAGTGGAAGTGGCCTCTCCTTCCCAGTAGAACTAGCCTCTCCACTCTTAGTAGTATTGGCTTATCCACCCTCAGTGAAAGCAGCCTTTCCATTTCTTTCTGAGGAAATTAATCCTGCAGTGCCCAAGGAAACTCTAATGCTTCCTCTGCATCTATCGAGATGATCATGTGGGGTTTTTTTGTCTTTTTATGATATTGACATGTTGTTAAGAATCAGGTTTTTATATAGCCATGATAAAGAATGAGATAATGTCCTTTGCAGGGACATGGATGGAGCTGGAGGCCATTATCCTTAGCAAACTAATGCGGGAACTGAAAACCAAATACTACATGTTCTCACTTATAAGTGGGAGCTAAATGGTGAGAATACATGGACACATAGAGGGGAACAACACACACTGGGGCCTTTTGGAGGGCGGAGGAGGGAGAAGATCAGGAAAAATAACTAATGGGCACTAGGTTTAATACCTGAATAATGAAATAATCTGTACAAAAACTCCCATGACACCAATTTACCTATGTAACAAACCTGCACATGTATCTCTGAACTTAAAATAAACATTAAAAAAAGAACCTGGTTTTGATTTCATTTTCCGTATTTTTAGTTTTCTATTTCATTGACTTTTGCTCTGTTATTTATTATTTCTTTCTTACAATCTACTTAGCATTTATTTGACCTTTTCGTTTTCTTAAGGCTCACCTTAAGATTTGAGACTTTTTGTTTCTTTACAATATAGTTGTTTAATCCTCTAAATTAGCTCATAGCACTTCTTTGTGACATCTACAAGTTTTGATATGTCACGTGTCTATTTTTATTCATTTCAAAATACTTTCTAATTTCCCTTCAATATTTTATTTGATCCATGGGTTTTTATTTAGTTTCCAAATATGTGCAGATTTTTTATATCTTCCTGTTGATTTTCATCTTAATTCAAATATGATTGGAGAATATACTTTATATGACTAGGAGCCTTTTTATATTTACTTACACTTGTTTTCTGCCTCAGAATGTGATTTATCTTTATACTCTTTCCAGGTTGACATGAAAAGTCTGAGAATTCTTCCATTTTTGTGTGAGAGTTCTACATGTCAGTTAGGTCAATACACTAATATTGTCCAGATTTTTATATCCTTACTAATTTTCTATTTATCAGTTATTGAAAAAAGAGTAAGAAAATCTCACTATAACTGCAGATTTATCTATTTCTCCTTTCATTTCTATTAGGTTTCTGCTTCAAGTATTTTGAAACACTGTTGTAACAGACATAAATATTTACATTTATTTTATCTTAACAATTATCTTAACCGCTTAACTGATTAATAAAAGTAGTTTTTTAAATAACTGGAAATGTCCTTTGCTCTAAAGTTCACTTCATACAATAGTAATATAACTATACCAGCTTTATTTTGGCTAGTGTTAGCATGGTACATCACTTTCTACTCTTTTAGTTTTAATCTATTTATGTCTTTGTATGTAAAGTATATTTTATAGGCAGCATGTAGTTGGTCCTCTACAACAAGCAAGAATATATTAAACAGGTTTTGGTATTGACCAAGATCTACAAAAACTTTCATAAGCCTGTGATAATCTTCCTTTTTTCTTGGTAATTTAAAACAGTTAAGTGGTATCAGAATGATGCGATCCTGGAAGGTTAGCTA